>NC_000009.12:103978127-104129642 GCF_000001405.40 Homo sapiens | reverse complement strand
AGCCACATATAAAAATAGATGGGAGATCTATGAATGTTTACAAACCAATATGTATAAGCCAGTTTCTTAACTATTTAATACTTTTGAATCAAATACTGAAGAGGAAAAAACCTTCAATGACTAATTTTTTTTTTTTTTTTGAGATGGAGTTTCACTCTTGTTGCCCAAGCTGGAGTGCAATGGCGCGATCTTGGCTGACCGCAACTTACACCTCCCAGGTTCAAGTGATTCTGCTGCCTCAGCCTCCTGAGTAACTGGGATCACAGGTATGTACCACCACGCCCAGCTAATTTTGTATTTTTAGTAGAGACGGGGTTTCTCCATGTTGGTCAGGCTGATCTGGAACTCCCGACCTCAGGTGATCTGCCAACCTCGGCCTCCCAAAGTGCTGGGATTACAGGCGTGAGCCACCGTGCCTAGGCGACTCATTTTTAAAAATGAGTTTCATTACTGACAAGAATAAAGATGAATATTTTTACCTGGAACACAGACTACAGAAACAAGACACTGTATAGCAAAAGATCTTCCTATTACTTTGGCATTAGAAGAGCCAACTCACAGAGAAATTTTTACGAAGTATACGCAAAGCACCTCCATTAGAATGAAATGTAAGTCAGGTAGAACTCCTTCAGAATTTACCAAATTCAATCTATTGCTTCAAAACACAACTTATGAGAAGCTAAAACTCTTTTAATACTTAAGTCATAGATTTGGTAAAAATCATGGAAGCCTAATGCTGACTGAGACCTAATAATTTTTCTCTCAGAAATATATTCTAAGAAACTGCCCTAAACATTGACTCTATCCTGCTCCCCACCTTTTGAAAAAGGCACAGTATATTGAAAAAGGCACTGTATAATAATTTTTCATGTAATACAACTGATTATACAGTTCAAATTATAGTGCCTAAAGAAGACTTTCTTCTACTAGAATTATGATTCATTCTCACTGGCAGAATCCAATCCTTGTTAATTTATTGACTTGTATTAATTCCATGGATATGGTCTCACCTGTAGGCCCCAAAGTACAATTATCATTTCTAGTGTATCTTCCTTTTGACCTGTAAACTCTTTGAAAGCATCCTGTATGTGTTGCTCATCCTTACATTGTCAGTGCCTGGCACAGTATCTGATACTGGTAGGTATGTATAAATCTTTGATTGACTTCTTAGCAGACCCACTTGCAAGTCCCTCCTTTTACTCTTGTAAATAAAATCTCCTAGCAATCGCCAGTACTAGCATTTTCAATTACCAAAAAACTATTAGCAGTAACATTGCCATTGGTAGTATTTCAGTCAGTCCACTATCACTAAGCTAATGGGAAATCAATAGTAATAAAGTGGTAGATTATAATGTAGCCATGAAAAATGTTGTTTAAATCAAGTTCCACAGTTCTTTCAGAAGAGAGGGAGATTGTTTTGTATGTTCTTGATCTTTCTGAAGTTAAAGTTCATGTATTTTTAGGATGCTAAAAAAAAATATCCTGGACATTAAAAAGGTGCCAAACTGTTACACACTCATAAGAAAACATGCTAGATGAATTATTAATACCATGTGAATGCAGCTTCTTAACCAAGCAATGAATTTCTGCAAAAGCACGTGTTATCTTTAAAGCACTGAAGTAAAGGTGCTGTGACACATGAAAGAAAGAAACTGGGATAACCTCAAAAACATAGCTGCTTGGCAAAACATCAGATTTTTTATAAAGTTGCAAATACTGACAGCAGTAACACTCATAAAGACATGTGGAAGCCAATTCAGTCCTTTTTTTAGATTACCTGTATATATAGTTCTGTGAGTTTTTTAATTCAATTTGAAATAAGGTAGAGAATATATATCATTATTACTAGCACATCAGTAATTAGTTCTATCAACATTTGGAGGTGAAAAGTTATTTCCATGGGAGACCACTAAACATTTGGTAAATACATCCTGTAGATGGGAAAAAATATCTAAAGTTAAATCTAAAAATAAAACATTTGTGCAATTTGTTGAAAATTAGCATTGTTGAAAAGCAGTTAAAGCTGCAAGCTCAAATTTATGCCAGGCTGTAATTTTGCCATTTATATTTATAGAGTTCTCTATCAAGCAGTTTTCTAAATTTTTTCAAGAGCTCAGTAACAAAAATTTGATTTAGTATAAAAAATGCACACAAACGTATACCTTTGCAGCACCATCTTCAGCCTCCCGTTTATGTTTGCTGATGTTGTGGTCTAATTCCTTAATTTTAAGCTGAGAATCATTGTTTTGCTCCTTGTGTTTTGCCACTTCTGCATATTTAGCTTTAATTACAGTGTCTTGGGCTGTTATCACCTCTTTTTGCTTGGTCACCTCTTCTTGAGCTTTATTTACTGACTCCTAAAACAAAAAAATTAAAGAAAATATGTGGTGAGGTAACATGTAAATAATTTTAATTTACTAAACAATTATCTGACAGATCCCTGGGCAAGAGGGCAATGTGATTACAGGCAGAGAGATGATCACCTAACCCTCTATATTTTATATCACCATTAAAAGGACTAATCAATTTATACACAGAAGAAAACTTGGATCATCCCTGGTAAAAGGGGTGGGAGGTACAATGCTCATGCTGCACGCTCATGCTGCAAATGAGAGCGTTTTTTGTTAGATGTAATGTAGATGGAATCAACTAAGTGAGGAAGAAGAGGGACTGCTAGAAGCTGACTGACCTATGTGATCCCAAAACTGGCAATTCTGGATGAGTAAAAGCTATTTGTGCCTCATTCTCTCATGATGACGAGTGAAAAGACTGAGAACACTAAAGTCAAACATCTTAAGCTAATGTTTCATAAAAAGATTCGCATTTTCAATTTCTCGAATTTGATAAATAAATCCTACCTTATTTTTAGCCACCTCAGCTGCCATTACTTCAATCTGACTTTCATAGGATTTGATAGCTTCATTTACAGCTTCAAGCTGTTGTTTGTAAGATGTATGCTCTCTCTTGAGCTCTTCCAGTTCCAGAGTGATAGCTTCAACTTCCTATAAAAAATACAGTATTCAGGTATTCATATAGGTTATTAACTACTGAAAAACAAATATGTACAGAACAATTAAATAAATAATAATCTCATGCAAGTAAGACCCACAGCTTTGTTACCACTCAGCTACCGAAAGTACAGGTTAAGCTGCTTCCCCAGAAAAGGAAGTTTATTTTCCTATATCAAAAAAAAAAGTATGTGTAATTTTTATAGGTTCAAAGAACTCTGCATAAATTATTTTCTTTATCCTTTATTCCTATAGGGAAAATAATATAACATTCTACGTAACAGATGAATTACTGGAAGTAAAGCTTTTTTAAAAACAAAATTGTTCAATGTGTAAAAAGTTTCTCAATATTCTTCTTTCCCACTATAGCCTTCAGTTCATTAGAAGAGCAGTCCCCAACCTTTTTGGCACCGAGGACCAGATTTGTGGAAGATGATTTTTCCATATGGCGGGCACAGGGAGAGAGTATGGTTTCAGGATAAAACCACCCCATCTCAGATCATCACGCATTAGATTCTCATAAGGAATATGCAACCTAGATCCCTTGCATGCACAGTTCAGAAAAGGGTCTGCACTCCTCTGAGAATCTAATGCCACAGCTGATCTGACACAAGGTGGAACTCAGGCAGTAATCCTCATTTGCCTGTCACACACCTCCTCTGTTACTGGTCTGTGGCCTGGGGGGTTGGGGACCCCTGCATTAGAAAATACTTTTTACAGCTATTTAATGACAAGAATCTTAGAGTGGGCTAAAAAAAAATGCGAGGGAAATATATTTAGGTGAAATCGCATAAAAGTGATTAACAACGTAGCCTTTGGAGACAAAAACCTAGGTTCAGATTCCAGCTTTGGCATTAGCTAAAAGATATAACAAAGTATCATCAGTTTACAACTGAATGACACCTTGTAAATATAACATGCTTTGTCTTCCATTATGCTCTCACAGTGCACATTCATTTAGGTGCTTATCAAATAAAAATGTCAACTTGCTGAATCTCTGATATGACATCCAGAATATCAAATAATCCACTCCTGAAGAAAGGCCATCCACTCTTGAAGGAAGCATTTACCAACCGTCAACTTTGCCCTTTCCTTAAAATTAGCATCCCCTACTCACAACTATGAAACACTCGATTGCAGGGTTTTCAGAGAAAAATACAGATTAAATATCCCTTATCCAAAGTGTGTAGGACCAGAAGTCTTCCAGACTTCAGATTTTTTTTTTGGATTTTGGAATATTTGCATTATACAGAGTAACTGAGTATCCCAAATCCAATCTGCTCCAATGAACATTTCCTTTGAGCCTCAGATCAACACTCAAAAAGTTTCTAATTTGTATTTTGGATTTGAGATGCTCATCCTGGATACTCCTTTGACTTGTAAGAAGCATAATTTGTTTCCAAAGAACACTGCTCCCTTTTAGATTCTGAGATCAATTCTGATGAATAAGGTCAACCAATGATGCTCTACCACCTTCAGCTCTATGTTGACTTTAAAAGGTTGGTTCAATTTCAAAAAGAAGTTATTACCTGTTGTTTTTCTTTCATCTTCTTGCTAGATGCATCTGCCTTTGTTTTGGCACAATCCAGTTTTTTCTGAGCATCTTTCAGTTCTCGCTCTCTTTCAGCTTCTGCATTTTTCATTTTATTTTCCAATACTTCATATTTTTCTTCTGCTTTTCTTTGGATTTCTTTAGTGTTTTTCAAAGTCTCCTCACTTTCCTCTGCATCACAAAGTAAGCAAATGTGGCTAAGTTAACAATGGTAAAGGTTGACAAATTCAACTTTTAATAGAAGAAATGGTTTGGAAAATTACAGGGTACAATTTAAGAAAATTAACTATCCCAATGATATTCTAGAAATGGTATAATGAAACACAGATCCTACCCAAAAGCCATACTTGAATTATCTAAAGATCTGTAACAAAATAATTTCTTTTGCTATGAAATTGAACTTTACCTACAACTATCCTTTTACAAAGGTATTGAAGCAACCTATTAAAAAAAAAAAAATCACAGATCATATTTTTAATGCAATTGTATGCTTCCTAAAACCAGAACAGTATAACTATGGTATTTTTTCTATAGTTGCTAGAAAGTGTGTAATTTCATAAACAAGCTTACTTTATGTTCTTTGCCTATTTTATACATATTCAGGGAACTTCTCATTAAAGTCGACAAATAATATGACAGTATGCCTGGGATACAGCAAAGGAAAAACATCCCCAAATCTGTGAAAGAAAAAAATAAGGTCAGGCGTGGTAGTTCATGCCTGTGTAATCCCAGCACTTTGGGAAGCCAAGGCAGGCAGATCATGAGGTCAAGAGATCAAGACCATCCTGACCAACATGATAAAACCTCATCTCTACTAAAAATACAAAAATTAGCTGGGTGTGGTGATGCACGCCTGTAGTCCCAGCTACTCGGGAGGCTGAGGAAGGCACCTGAACCCAGGAGGTGGAGGTTGCAGTGAGCTGAGATTGCGCCACTGCACTCCAGCCTGGGGACAGAGAGAGACTCCGTCTCAAAAAAATAAATAAAAGGGCAATACTGAATGAACACGTGTTGCTGTAACAACTGATGTATATTGTGAGTGTTAGGACCCAGGTGCAAACATAACCTTGGAAGTCATTACCGCACAATTTCTTACACTACTTTTCACTGCAGAAAATACTATTAAAATATTAGTGGAGAAGCACATGTGTGGATATTGTCCTAATGAATGACAAAAATTTAAACTACCATATACAATTAAATTCTAAGGAAAACATATAAGCTATCTTAAAATTAGGGAAATGGCTATAAAGTGAATTACACTAAATATTAAAAACTTTTGTAAAACAAAAATACTATGAACACAAAATTAAAAGACCAGTACATAGCCAAAAAAGATGGTAAAAGGATATTTGCAATGCACATAACCTACAGGAAATTAGGACTCTTAAGCATGAGAACAGTGGGAAAAAAACCATGAGCAACCCATGGGCAAAAGAAATAAACAGAAAATTCACACAAGTATAAACCCAAAGGTCCAATGAACATACAAAAAAAGATCCCAAATTTCATCAGCAATTAGGGAAATGCAAATTAAATGCTAATGCATGCTATCTTTTCACAACCAACAGATTTGGAAAATTTTAAAAGTCTGGAGAAAAAAGAACTTGGAGAAATGTTCATATGCTGCTGGTGGAAATGAGTATTGGTAAAAACGAACAGACCTTTGACGATATACAATAAAGATGAAAATGACCATACCCTAAGACCTAGAAATCCCATACTTGGATTTTCCCTAAATAAACTTTATCATATATATCTTAAACATAGCACAGGTAGAGAAGATACCTAAAGTAAGGTAACGGATATGAATAAAACCAGAGATTAAGCATGGACTGTTTTCATCTTACCAATGGTTTTTTTAAGGGCATCTAATTCTTCTTGTTGCTTGTGATATGAGCTTTGCTGGAGCTTGGTTTGTAATAAATCTGCCTCTTCAGTTTTCATCTCCCACTGCTGTTTTAGTTGGCGATACCTTACAAAAACAGAAACATGTAAGAAATGACTGTCATTTTTCTGGTATTTGAGAAATACATTCAAACTTCAGATTCTTACCTTAAATAAACTCACATACGTTATAAACAATATAAGATGCTACTGGTTACAGGAATAATTTTGACGGCTTTCAAGTTTCTGAGGCACCAATTAATTCAAATTTAGATCTGGTCATTGAAGGTGAACAACTCTAAATGACTAAAATCTGTAACAACTATTTACATTAGAAATATTTAACAGCTAGGTTTCCTTAAAAATAATCCCTCTTGCTAACTAAAAAGAAAAAAAAATCAAACCAACTACTCACCACGAAAAATGATTAATTATAACAATTACATAAAATTTCAAAAATGTAGTTATCTATTTATTAACCTCATTTTCAAATGTTAAAAATAATAATAATGTTCCCTACTTTTAGTGTAAGAAAAATAGTTTTGAACTTAGTTGTTTAAAATGCACTTTCTTGAAAACTTTGTAATTCTATCCCTGTTCTGGCTGCTTAGTCATTTCTTTTGAAAGGTATTTAGCTAATTCAGTTGCAGTGAAATTTCAAGTTAATACAAATTCACAAAGTACCTTGTCACTAGAAATCATGAGGTCTGAGGAAAAAAAAAAAACAAAACTTATAAAATATAAATACTACCTTGAGTATTCTTGCCTGAAGATATACTTGACAGTACTTAAAACAATAATTTTAACTTCAAATTAATTTAAAAATGTGGAATGTAGAAATATTTGTTTAAAAGATGTTACTTTCCTGATATGGTGTGAAACAATGGCTTTAGCTGATTCTTCCACCATTCTCATTTTTTTCAAAATCTATTTTCCTTCCTTGACCTCAGTGTCACAAATAGCAAAGAATTCAATTCTGCAGAATAAATGATCCAATACTACTGAACAAAATTAACAGTTCTAAGCCAAATGTAACTAACTACAAACTCATCACCTTGTTAGAGCTTCCACATATCACAGAAAAATTCTGTTCTACTCTTCTCACAGAAAAAAATTCATTTACTCTATGGTTAATTTATATTCATGAAGGTAAAATGCAGGCCTTTACATGTATGTGATGTTTGAAAGTAAAAAGGATAGAACACTTGAGGCCAGGAGTTCGAGACCAACCTGGCCAACGTGGTGAAACTCCATCTCTACTAAAAATACAAAAATTAGCCGGGTGTGGTGGCAAGTGCCTGTAATCCCAGCTACTTGGGAGGCTGAGGCAGAGGTTGCAGTGAGCCGAGATCGGGCCACTGCACTCCAGCCTGGACGAGTGAGACTCCGTCTCAAAAAAAAAGAAAAAGACAAATTCTGATTCAATTTATATCTCTGAATGGCCATCCTGACTATGAAAATCTTGCTCATATTTAGTGTCCTCAAAAGTCTTGGTGCCATTTTAAGCTTTCATAACTACAGAAATTGAATGCTAAAAACATACCCAAAAATAATCATTTCAACATTTATTTAGATTTTTTAAATTGTATTCAGTATTGTGAATTCTGAATAAAATCTTTTTAAATCAGTCCCTATTTGTCATCTTCAGAGATACTGGAAAAAATAACAATTGAACTTTAAAAAAAAAATTCTTTTTTTTTGAGAAAGGGTCTCACTCTGTCCCCAAGGAGAGAGTGCAGTGGCACAATCTCAGCTCACCGCAACCTCGAACTGCAGGGCTCCAACAATCCACCCACCTCAGCCTCCTGAGTAGCTGAGACCACAGGCACATGCCACCACGCCTGACTAACTTTTTTGTGTTTTTTTACAGACACAGGGTTTCTCCATGTTGCCCAAGCTGGTCTTGAACTCCTGAGCTCAAGCGATCCACCCGCCTCAGCCTCCCAAAGTGCTGCGATTACAGGTGTGCACCACTAGGCCTGGCCAAACTTTCAAACAATGCACTTTGTTAAGTTTGTAGCTCTTTTAACTTATGAAGCTTTCAATTCAAGTGGGGACTATTCTCCCAGATAACCACAGAGCCAGTTCACTCACTCTTGTTCACTCACTCTTTCGTGTGTTTACTCAACAATCATGTCCTCAGTGAGGCTTTTCTTGGCCACCCAATATAAAATTTTAACATGTCTTTGCCCTAGATAGCTCCTATCTCCTTTCCTGATTTACTTTGTTCTTCTTAGAACTAGTAACATGTTTTACCAATTTATCTTTCTTTATCATCCGCTTCTCCAACAAGAAAAAACTAGATGAAGGCAGGGATATTTATCTGATCCCCAGCCCCTAGAAGAGTATGTGGCACACAGGAGGCACTCAATAAATGTTTACTGACTGACAAAAAAAGGTTACATTAGCATGATCCCAATATTGAAAAAATAAAAATTCACATATACCTCTATTATACAAAAATAGAAGTGATGTTGGAAAGTATATACATATCTTATCCATACCTACACAGAAGAAATACTGTAAGGAAACACTGAAATTTTAGTGCTGATATTCGACATGAACTTGTTTACCTGCTCACTAGGCAACCTAGCAGATCCTTGATATATGTAGGACAGCCACAATGCTATTAAACTTACTGTGGGCACCTGATCAATGCTATACTGTATCATATTCATGTCAAATCAAGAAATCAAGTATCCTCTGGTATCAGACGCCAGAGTGTCGAAGGGTTTCCCCAGCAACCCTAGCCAAGTGCTAGTTTATTTCTCAGCAGAGAGAATGGAATATTTGAATGATTTTTTTGTTTTGTTTTGCTTAAATAGATTTTGCTAATTTCTTAACAAAGACATCTCTCTTATGAGAAAAAAATGGATAAATGGTAAGTTATCAACTCACAATTTAATCAAACATTTTAAATAAAACCAAAAATATGAGAAAAGTCAGAAGCTGTATTTCTTGAAATAAAAGTAAATTTTCTATCATTTTCTACTATGCAAATCTTTAATTAAAAAAAGTATATGCAGTTCTTACTTTTCAGCAGTGTTTTTAAGACCTGCTAATTCCTCTTCTAGAGCCCGCAGCTCATTCTCTTTGATTCTCAGTTCATCCTGAACATCTTTGAGTTCTTGAAACTTGGTTAAAATGGAAGCTGCCTGGGATCGAGCACCTGATAGAGGCAAATTGAAACAGGTCTTCCACATTGTTACCAGGTATGTACTACACAATAAAAAGTCTTCTAAGAGAATTATACTCAAATTGATTCAATAGTAAATATTTTAATGAGCTTATGAAGCCATGGAATTCATTCCATCACCTGAACCTTAGAACACAGAGAACTCATAACAGATCCAAGAGGTTGTAGTAGGTATTATTTATTCAAAATAACCACTGCCTTGTCTACTGGGCCCATCTTCCATCGTCTGACACTGGACTTGCCTACGTGATTTGCTCTGGCCAATGAAATGGGGAAATGTGTCTCTTCTGAAAGTAAACTTTAGGAGGCAGTACATAATTTGCTTTAGGAGGCAGTACACCATTTGCTTTCCGTTTGCCATGGGAAAAATATGTTCAAGACAGAGACGACTACTCCTTCACACTGAGTCCCAGAATGAGAATAGCACTGAGCAGAAAGGCAACTGATCTGCAGCAGATGTAGCATAAACATGGAATAAATTTGTTGTAAGCTAAGATTTCGGGGCTGACCTAAGTTCTGATACAGCACGGCAAGCAGAATAAGCCGATTTCACATTATGCAACTATAACTATCTGGCAGTCACAGGTTGAGGTATTATGTTGACAAAGAAACTCCACAGGTTTGATGGAAGAATGCTAAGGTCAATTAAAAATGCTTTTAAACACTTTGTAATTAAAATACGGGGTTACTTATTTCATATCCTATAAGTAAAAACTTCAAAAGCATCTGAATCAACAAAATCTAAAAAGTTTCTTCTCTTGTAGACATTTAAAAACACAGTCTCTTTTTATCTTCCATTTGCAGATACTAGTCATTTGATTGTGTACTGGAGAATCTGATACCTAGTCATGGAATTCACTGAACCGGCTAATGTTTTCGTGGCCGAGAGCAACATTAAGTCACTTGATACCTCAAGTGGCTTTATGCCGTCTACTGGGTTAAAAACACAAACTATGAAATCAGACTGCTGGGATTCAGATTCTAAGCTCTGCCACCCTGTAGTGCGTTATTTAAGCACTCTGTATCTTCATTTCTGCAACTGTATATTAGAGATCATAATAATATGCCTACCTCATCGTTGTTATTAAGAACTAATTCTTATTTAAAGCCCATAGAATAGGGCTTTATAGAATGATAGACATGTTCTATATCTGCATTGTCGAATTATCCATTAACCATTTGTGATTATGGGCTCTTGAAATGTGACTAATGCAACCAAGGAAATTACTTTTAACTTAATTAAATGTAAAAAGTCACATATGGCTAGTGGCTACTGTATTGGACAGCATAGTGTAGAACACTGTCTGGTATACAGTAAATATTATTCAGTGTTTGTTATTCTATTGTCTTGACAAAGATCTGCAAACTCAGTGTGGCAAATACTAGACCAAGAAGAATATGATCACTGTCTAAGAATTCCTTTAAGGCATTAAGGTACCATTTCAAGGGCAGGTTTAATTTTTTGTTTTACTTTTGACAGGAGGTAGGTGGCACTGGCAAACACACAAATGAGAAGTTAACATGTTTCCTGAAGAAGTGGGTAGTTGGGCTAAAAATGTACTTAAAAAAGGCATCTTCCTATTTACCACAAAGAATTGTGAGGAGAAAAGGATATAAAACTTACCTCCACTCAATGTCCCATGAGGATCAAACACATCACCTCCGAGAGTTACAGTTCTAGTCATTATCCTCTTATCAAAGGCCACTTTTTTGGCATTATCCATATTGTCACAAACAAATGTTGTTCCAAAGACAAACTCCATTGCTTTCTGAAGTTCTGGTTTATATTCAACCAAGGAAAGAGCCACATGAACGTTGTCAGGGCCAACCTGTGGGACAACAACAGATATGCCACAGTACATACTACTACTTTTCCTTTCAGATATGATTTTATAAACCAGTAAAAACTGCTGTAATAGAAACTTAAATAATACTTACCTAGCATTAAAACTCTTTCTGAATTTTCTAAAAAGCTATGTAAAACTCAAAGTTTCAGGAAAAAAAAACTGCAGGTTTAAATACTGAAAGATTTATTGCTAAGTAAAATATTTATTAATAGCTAGTATGGAGCATTATGAAAGTTTCTATCAATAAGGAGCCATTACCATGTTTCTAAGTGTCCTTCACCAACGTTGACTGGACACAACTTTAATTATAGTACAGATTGAGTATCCTTTATCCTAAATGCTTAGAACAGAAGTGTTTGTTTTCAGATTTTGGTATATTTGTATTACAGTGGTTGAACTTTCTAAATCCAAAATACTCCAATGAGCATTTTTTGGGTGTCATAGTTTTGAATTTTGGAAAATTTCAGTTGTTGGACTTGGAGTGCTTAACCTATAATTTCCAGATCAACACAACTATATGAAAATGTTGTTTCAATAATCAGGAATTTGATTTCACAACAAATATTTTCTCATACAAATGAAACATGCTAGAGCAGTCGTCTGCCAGTTACAGAAATGAAAACACAATAACTGAGAGTAAAAGTAATTTAAAAAATCCCCAGTCCTCTATTTTGATCACAATGCTTCTTCTCAGCCTTTGTTTATAGAGGCTACCTCTGCCCATCATTTAAGAAAAACTAAGCATCTCTTTTAGAGCTTAGTATCAGCAGTGGCAGTCACAATGAAGGAAGCTCTATGTAACACATGTTCAGTATTGTTCTTTGATGTGGCAGCTACCATCAAATAGGTTTGGCTAAAGGATTTGAGGCAAAGTATTTTTGCTGTTACTTGAAATCCCAATTTCCTTCTAATGCTGGGACTCGATGTATGGCTGAATTAACTTCCTGAGCCTTCTTGACTTAATGGTGAGTTTTCAAGTAAAGAAAGTACCAACCAAAAACATCACCTTTCAATTACTCAGCACTCATCCTCCCTCTCCTGATAGTATACATATCAACACAACTGTATTTTGAAATCATTTGCATTGAAATCTTCTGAATGTAACTAAGGATACAACAACATCCACTTAGTTACAAGTATATTTTTAAGTTTCATAGAAATGTCTTTTCAACTGATGTACTTGGAATGTCTGATCAATAAAAAAACTGATATTACAGCTGAATGTTATGACTGACTTCATGTTTTTACAGTATTACACAACTACAATAACTTTTAAATGTATTTCCTTGTACTAATCTATTTTCTTACTAGCAAGCATGTCACTTTAGATCAACGTCAGCAGTTGAATGGGATCCTGGTCACCTGCTATGTACCTGCACAGGCTGAATAGCAATCTAGAAGAACTCTAATAAAGAAGCATCACTGCAATACTAATGAAGGCCTTCCATAATGGCTGTGACTGTGGGCAGTTTTAGTATGCCTGACATAAAAAGAAACAAAAACAAAAACTTGAAGAATTTGGGGTACGTATCTAGAAGCTCAGTTCTAACCATTCAGGAATCAAGAGTGTAATTTTCACCATCACCTGATTGATAGTCATGTGACTTAAGGTTAAAAAGGACATTCTAATACCACAAAGTGAAGCATCAAAAGGAGTTCAAGTCTTCCAACATCTCTATTCTCTTATCATCTAATTGCACAAGCCAACCCAATTTTTTTGTATTTTAATTTTGTGGTTCTGCATATGATTATGTCCCTCAAAATTAATGTCTTCTAACTTAAAAAAACCACAGATGACGATTAAACATATAAATAAGACAAAATGAGACTTACAAGATTCTGAGCAACTCTCAGAGTTTCTGGTGCAATACATCTGGCTGAAATTTTATTGAGTGGAATTATAGTGTATCGACGTTTCAGTTCCCCCCTTTCTAGTAGCTTTTTACCAGTAACCTACAACACACATTTGAATTTAAAAAACGCATGTTAAAAATGACAGAAAATTGAGAGAATGCAAGTTTAGTAGTCTATAATAAATGAATGTTTAGTGCCATTTATCCCAATCAAGTTATAATTACATATGCAATGGAACATCATTTGAACTTGAAAAAGGAGATGCTGCCATTTGGGACAACATGAATAAACCCAGAGGACATGATGCTAAGTGACATAATCAGACGAAGAAAAAATAAAAAACTGTATGACCTCACTTGTACATGGAATCTTTTAAAAAAAAAAGCTGAACAAATAAAAAGAGTAGGATAGTGGTTATCAGGGATGAGGAGTGAAAGAAAATGGGTAGAAGTAGGTCATAGGTCAAAGGGTACATATTTGCAGTTGGGTAGGATAAATAAATCTACCTATTCAGAGATGTAATGTATAGCATGAGGACTATAATTAATACTATATACTGAAAATTTGCTAAGAGTAAATTTTAGGTGCTGTCACACACAAAAAAGGTAACTATGGAAGGTGAATGGCTATGTTAATATGTCTGACTACAATAATCATTTCACTATGTATATGTATCAAAACATCTTGTACGTTTGTTTTTTTCTTTTTTTTTTTGAGATACAGTCTTCCTCTGTTGCCCAGGCAGGAGCGCAGTGGTGCAATCTCAGCTTACCGCAGCTTACCGCAACCTCCACTTCCCAAGTTCAAGCAATTCTTGTGCCTCAGCCTCCAGAGTCGCTAGGACTCCAGGCGCACGCCACTACGCCTGGGTAACTTTTGTATTTTCAGTAGAGATGGGGTTTTGCCACGTTGCTGAGGCTGGTCTCGAGCTCCTGGGCTCAAATGATCTGCCCACCTCAGCCTCCCAAAGTGCTGGGATTACAGGTGTGAGCCACCATACCCAGGCTTCTTGTACATTTTAAATATATATATAAAATAAATTAAAAAAAAAACAAGGAAGTAAATTTGACAATGACTACGTAGCATTTACAGGAAAGAATATGAGCATTCTACAGAAGGATAATAAGTGAGAACTGAAGAAATGTAAATAAATTCAATGTTACCTTGATGGGAAGACTGACATCAAAAACAGGTCATTTATTCCCAGATTATTTTACAAATTAAATTCAACTTATACAGCAAAGAGATCCCAAAAGTTTAAGATTGGTAATATGCATTCTGAGTTTCTGAGTAAGCATGAGACCTCCTTTGGAATAGTTATCAAAAAGTTATGAACCAAATAGTTTTACCCTATAAATAAGTCACCTTAGGGGAGAGCCTTAAAACATCAAAGTATTTAATTCTTTTAGCAGCACATGACTTTTCAAGCTAACCAAATTTTAAATTTTTTAAAATTAAAATCAACTTACTTCTGTGTCTACTACAACATTGTAGAGTCGTTCTCCAGCCACTAATTCTAAAGCTGTGGTTGCAGAAGTGTCTTTCACACTAATCAGAGAAGCCACAAGTCCTTTCACACAATTTCTATTCCAGTTCTTCTCTGGATCCCTGAAATACAAAAGTTGACAAAAATTAATCTTAGATAATAAAGTAGAAAAAGTTATACTTTACTCATCAGGAGCTCTTTTGGACAACACATTAAAGTGAAATGAAAGTAGAATCAGCAAAATGGTTTTAACAAACCAAAAATTTTAAAATGTCCCAAATGACTAGCCAGCTGTTGTTTTTAAATCACAATAGATCTTTCAGTATGTTTCAATGTAGTAAGAACAACTCTGATGTTCTAATCCCTATAATACATATGATTACTGTAAATATTCCATAAAAAACCCACATAGCAAAACAAATTATAAGATGTAAATGTGGATATTTAACATTAATGATACAGTAACTCTGAAGACATTTTGAACTGAGATTAAATTTCCCTCATTTTAAGATTAGTGGCATCATTAGCCATTAAATTTCACAAGAATTTCCCTGCCAACATTTAAAACATTTCAACAAATGTTTAAAGGAAAAATACCAATGAAAGAAAAGCAGCTTACAACAAGTTTCATACAAAAATCTTGGTTTCGACAAAATTTTCACACTGCTTCCAGCTTAAATAAAAATGTCTTGATTATTACTATGTTAAAATTCAAGGCTTAAGTCTCTTACTTGTATGCAAATCGAAGATTGGGAAATCTGGCTAATAGAGCTTCATATGTTTCTTTCAATCTACCAATATCACGAGACAGCTGCCTGCGCTTTTCCAAAAGGCTTTCCTCTTTATTTTCTGAAGGATAAATCATAATAAATTAAAACCAAGTTTTAAAAGCTCACTCTACTGTTTTAAGGAAAATATTAGCAACCACTATTTCCAAAGCATGCAAAAAATACAAATTTCTGTAAGTATTAAAAAAGCATGCTGAACCTTCCTATTTCTATCCACTGTCAAACAGACATTATTTCCAACGGCAAATAACACAATTTTCATTCCAAAAAATAACATACAAACTGAATGCCTAATGTAGAAATACACAAATGACATTTTTGAGCTTTCAAATGATTGAAGCAGGAAATTCTCAATACTGAGTTCTCAAAAATTCAAGAGTTGTTTTATAATTAGGTATTTTTTGACGATATTTACAACACTTCTTATACTAATGCTTGTTAATAGGCTAAGAAATGTTTCCTACTTGCTTGCGTTCTTTATTTAAATTAGCTTTTTATCAAAAATCACTACCTCCTCATGATCTGATTATCATGTTTTTAAAGGCAAACCTTCATAATTTAGCTTTTTCATTTCAGCTTCAAGTTTTTCTTTAAGTCTTTTTACAGCTTCTAGAGCTTCTTGATCCTTCCTGTAGCCACTATCCATCTTCTTAACTTCAGCTTGTTTATTCTTTAATTCCTGTTGAGCATGCTTCAACTTCATCTGAGCCTGTGGCAGAAAAATGCAACAGACCATAGGATGTATGAGGCAGACAGTGCTAGTAATTAAATGGCCGAAGATTCAGATTGGTTTTACTAAGAGACCTTAACCTTCAAAGTTTAATTGTTTGGTCTCTTGGATTAGTATTTCAACAAATTAGTCATTTCCCAGTATTTTCTCCTCAAAAAACTACTCAAAGTATAAACTAATATATGATTAATATGTAAAAGAATTTGAAATTTAAGTCCGTATTTTTAATAAAATATGACATATTCAAATTGAAGGATTATATCGAATAACTGTCAGTAGCTGGTAATTAAAAAAAGAACGCTAGAAATCACAACTCTCGTTCTTTTCCTTTCCGCTTAGTTGTTCATATTTGTATGTGTATATATTTGTGAGTGCTATCTAATAACAGTAAAGAAACTGAATTGAGCAATAAGACGTAAGATTATACAGGAAAAGAAGCTAAACTGACAGAGAAACTTAAATGCTGAGTCTGATAATTAAATGCTAGAACTATTTAAATTACATGTGTCAGGCCTTCAAGAATTTATACACTTGAACACTGCTTCTTAAAACTATGAACTAGTATTCTAAAACCTAGATGGGGTTTTAGATGGGGGTATCCTCCAAAACTGTATAATGATGTATTTTTCCCAGTTCCCTTATAAAATAATAGACAAACTGAGAGTAGAGTACTTTAAAGCTTTTCTACTATTGAGAGTTCTTATAAATTTGTGACTATCATCTGTCATGCCTGAATGAAAAAGTTGCAAATATATAAAGAGAAAAACCTGAGGATTAACGCATAATCACACACATTTGTGTACATGTTTTAAAATCTGTGTCTTCCATTAAAAACAAAACAATGATGTGCCTGTGTACATGTATTTTTTCTGCTAGCAAAATTCTTATGTTCATAGGACTGTAAGTTGCACTACTATGTAAAATCTGAGAAACATTATAATAGACTGACAAGACTTTTAAGATTATGAAATCAGAGTAGGGAGAGCAGACTAGAATGTGGCTACATGTGAGGTAGAGATACTTCCTAAAAAAATGTAAAGTTTGAGAAACAAGGTTTTAAGAACTAGGTATGGCAGGCAAAGCAATGGGGAGGACAATCCTGTTTTCCTGTTAAAGCTTAAGACTTCAACATTATGTTATCAATAAAAAATAAAAATAGCCAAAAAGAGACAAGAATAAATGCATTAATCTCGAAAATTCCACACAATGCTGCAAACAGAACAAAGCATTTATTGCACTTACATACCGAATTAAGATAATTTATGTAGTACAGCATCTTCACAAATTAACATCACCAATATTTAGCAATCAACATATTTGAATTTCGCTGCATTAGGCATTAGAGTTGCAGAATAAAGTAAACAAACAAGTTCCTTGAGACTGATTATTTTCAACATTATGTAACAATTGCCAAAGCATAACATGAAAAGAAACTTCTTGGAAAAAAAAGCAATCACATAGTGCTAATGTCTCTATTTACCTGTTTGGCTTCTGTCTGAGCTTTACTTATATCATTTTTACAGGCCATCATTTGACCAGCAAGAGTTGCTTCTGCTCCATCTTCATTACTGGACAGGCCAGCGGAAACAGCATTGAAGTGCTGCTGTGCAGCTGCCAGAGCTTCAGCATCTTTATTACTTGCTTCTTGAAGGGCATGCAGTCCATCTGTTATCTTTTTAACCTCTTTTTCCTTTGCTGCTAAAGTTTTTGAGTCCTTTAGGAAGAGTTTCAAATGGAAAAATATTATATTTCAGGAAAAACACCCACTTTCTTATACGCATACCCTTATGTAATAAAATTCCATAGCAATTTGGAGTGAGCATAATAAAATAATTTAACCATCATAACTTTATAAATACTGAATTATCATTTTGAAATTCACTCTCAGTTTTTAGAATAAATATAACTCTTATACTACTGGTTCATTCCATGTTATAAATTAAATCCATGAGACATTGGGCTAAATAATAATTGCAGATTTAAACAAATCACTTGAAGGGACTAAAAATGAATTTCTAAAGCTGTAAAACTGAAATAACAGACATCCTACACTAGCTTAAAAGTAGAGATTTTAGAATTAAGAGCATGTATATGAAAATATTTTATAAACTGTCAAGAGCCATAAAATTTGAGCATTAAATAGTTTCAGAAAAAGTATTACTATTATGTAACACCTTTTAAGTAATACTACCAGATAGCTGACACTATGCAAGATACCAGACCTGAAAAAAGAAAATCTAGCAATCTTACTTACAATTAAAGTGACAACAAATTTTGGCCCACTTGATTAGTTCATGATTCATCAAATATTTATTAAGTGCTTACTATATAGTAGGCCCTATTCTAAGACATTAAAGACACAGACTAAGTCGCTGTTCTAAGGGAGCCTATATTCAAGGTTAGAAGACATAGTAATCAAACAAAACAAGGTTGGGGAATAGAGTGATAGGAACAATTACTTCAAGAAGAATAACAGAAGGCCTTTGAAATGCCATTTGAACAGAAGACTGGATGAAGTGAGAGGAGTGACTGCGCAAATACTTGTGGGGCAGTATACTTGAAAGCCCTGAGGAACATGTTTGAATGTTTGAGGAACCGGACTAGGAGCACAGTGAGTAAATGGCTAAGGAGCCAAGAGTCACATCATGAAGCACCTTGCAGGCCATGGTAAATAAAGACTTAGATTCAATTATTTAGTTGATCCTTAAACATGGGAGTTGGAGTACAGACCCACCCTACAGTCAAAAATCACATATACTTTTGATTCCCCCAAAAACTTAACTATTAATAGCCTACTGTTAACCAAAGCCTTACCAATAACATAACACAATTAACTCATATTTTGTATGCTACATTATATACTGTATTCTTGCAATAAAGCTAGAAAAAAGATATTAAAAGCATAAGAGAAAATACATTTACAGTACTG
Organism: Homo sapiens; assembly: GCF_000001405.40. Lineage (NCBI taxonomy): Eukaryota > Metazoa > Chordata > Mammalia > Primates > Hominidae > Homo > Homo sapiens. The sequence goes on along the minus strand of NC_000009.12, from coordinate 104,110,365 downwards.
TAGTGTATTTATTGATGCGATAAGTTTATATTATCTGTTTACAAGATAAATCATCTGTCTGGAAAGGCAGGCAACCACAGCTGCAGACCTCAATCTATGGTACATTATCAAGCACTCAACTATTTTTTGTAGCATCCTGACTTCTCTGCTTTTTGGGAGCATTTTCAGTATCACTAGTGGCACTTCATATGGATCCCATGTTATTCGGGTTTATGGTACTGCATTAAACGTGATGAAAAATACACGAGAACCACAAGAGATCACTTTCTACTGAGCTCTGCAACTTACTGGAAACGTGAACTACTAAGAAGTAAATGATTAATGTCACACTGAGTTTACTTGAGCTCACCACAATAGCAACAGGAGGTGGCTACAAAATTATTATAATAGTGTAGTATGTTCTATAGTTTTATGCAGTTATCATTTAATATTGCATCTTTACATTTGTTTACATTTCTCTCAACTATGAATAATGCCAAGTATGGTGTTTATGTTTTGATAAATTTTAACTTTTTATAATAGATTTTTGTATATTTTATGGTAGTAAATGATAAAATAGACTAGTACCTAAATATATTTTGTGCATTTATGACAACTTAACTTCTTCTTAATTTTTTTGATATTTCTAGGCAATATGGTATTTGTCTGCAAATTTTTTCAAATTGTTGCAAACCTCCAAATAATTTTCCAATATATTTATTGAGAAAAATCTGCTAATAAGTCAATCCATGCAGTTCAAAACCATGTTGTTTCAGCGTCATACAGCATACGCGTAATTCGGAAACCACTGAAGGATTTTAAGCACAGAAGTGATGTGATTCAATTTATATTTTAGCTTCTGTAAAGAACAGACTATAGAGTGGCAACAGGAAAAAAGTAGCGCAACTAATAAGAACATTATCGCAGTAGCCCTCATGAGAGGTGATGGCTTGAACGAGGTTGGCAGTAATGGAGGTAACAAAAAGTGGCTGTATTCTGAATACGCTTTTAAAGTTAACAGAATTTGTTGATAGACTGGATCTAGATATTTAAAGAATGGTGAGAATCCAGAGGACTCTAAGATTTCTGGCCTCAACAATTAGGTAAATAGTGGTACCATTCACTGACATGAGGAAAATTCAGTAACTCAGGTGGGTTTGGGTAGTTGAGGGAAATTGCTAAATTCTATTCCGGATATGTTAAGTTTTACACTTTTTAAAACTCATCCAGATAAAAATGTTAATTAAGTAGCTGGACAAAGAAATCTAGAGTTTGTTGGACAGTCATCTGGGTGTCCTTAGACTAACCTTGTTCTCCCTTTCTCAGTTGAAGAATAGCTGTAGAATGTGCTAGAAAATGCAACATTCTGATAGAGGGAATGGCCTGAATAATCCATACTCTATTTCAGTTCCCTCCTAGAAATATGCATGTCCTTTCATGCTTTAGCTCAGCAACTCACGTAAACCAGGGGATCATGTGCTGACCACCCCCATTTCTCTATTTCTGGGGTATAAACCCAGGGCAAGCTGCTTTCTGGGGTCCCTCAACTGTATGGGGAACATACACATGAAACTCCATCCAACACTTGTGGGAATGGCCCACCATGAAACCTAGGATTTTACTGTCTATTACTACCTATCTGTAGGAAATAAATTTGCTTCATATAACTTGTGCTGTATGGGTGAGTTCTATTAACACTGACAGGTTGGTAACTAGTGCATACTGAACTTGCTTCACACCATCAGTGCAGTTAGTAGGGTCTGCTCTGACAGAATCATGATCTCCTGGTTGTTGGACACATGTAATTGCTCATTCCCAGCGCCAGAGAGCTCGGGAAGTGGGTAGTCAGATGGATCCCGAGAGGGAACAGGAAAGAGGTTCTCAGACAGTGCCTGAGGCATCTGAAAGAACCAACACATACAATGCAGACCTTCATAGAAAAGGAGGCTCACTATCTAGAGGACGAGTATATGGAAAGTCCAGGAAAGGCTTATGCAGCCTGGCTGAAGTGTTTGTTTGATAAAGGGACACTGTGGATCCAAATGGCTAAATGGCATAGTTTAGAGTGGGACCGAGGTCTCCGGGTCCCCACCAGAGATGGCCCTATACTCCTGTCAAGATGAGAAAAAGAAATGAAATTAGGCTTTTCTGGAGTTCTTGGATACTGGAGCCCACAGGACATATTTCCAGTTTTCCTAGGGAAAAGTTAAACTGATGACCATGGGAGGGTTTCAGGTGAATGTAATGACTCACTATGCTTATTGCTTATCTGCTGTGAGTAGGATACTTTGTGTCACTTTGGGTGCTGGTGACCACAGTTCCCACCACTGAGTACGGATATTGATAGTTTGGTTGCTTGTGGTGCAGAACATCACCACCACCTGAGGAGGTATGCCCCTCGTAGCTAAGAATTTGAGCTATACCAGTGGTGCATATCCAACCCGGCCTGCCACCTAAGACCTCATAAGTTACTCAAGACTTACCCAAAACCTCTTAAGTTACTCAGCGAAAGCAGTACTGCATACCAAGTGGAGAATAAGACGCTACTTTCTTAATTCAAAACCCACTACAGATAAAAATGTCACAATGCACTCGCCTAGTCTGGCTAGTCAGAAAGGCCTTTGGGGCATGAAGACTAATGGATAGTCACAGGCTGAATGTCAAGGTCACTTGGACAGAAAGCCAAGGAAGTATCCCAGATATAGTCAAACAAAAATTGTTGGTGCTGGTGGCACTTACTAATGAAAAAGAAGCCCCACAGCTGGTAGGTCTCTTGGGTACTAAACACAGCATATAACCCATGTGGGTCTTTTTTTGGCCCCCTTTAATCCAGGTGACCAACAAAGCTGCCAACTTTGAACAGCGGACTTTGCAGTAGCAGGCCTTAGAAAACAATTTAAAGTAGTGGCCTTGGTGCTGCTTTTAAAACATTTACAGTCTGTTAGCCTGATGCAATGACAGGTGTCCACAACCTCCATGCATGCTGACTGCAGTCTATGGCAACAGAAACTTGTCACTGGGGAGACCTAGCCTCTTCTAAGTTGAACTTTAAGTTGCTTGAGGCAGCCACCTGATATAACTCTTGGAATGTAACTTCTTGCTTGCTATTGTGCACTGGTAGAGACCGTGTGTCTTAAGGCCAGAGCACTACATGCGACGCTGTGACTTAAACTGCCCACTCTTACTTGGGTGCTTACAAACCCTATCAATGAATTGGGGCAGGCTCAAAAGAGCTTGATTATCAAACAGAAATGGTACATTTGAAATCAAGCCCAGTTGGAACCCCAAGGGACCAGCAGGCTTCATGAAAAAAATGGCTAGCTTATTAGAAGGGTCCAAACAAACCACAGGGGATGCTTTGGCTTCTCCTCTGGCTCCCCGGGTCCTAAGATTCTGAGATGTGCCTACTAATAGTATGGCGGGGTTTACTGAAAGTTCCATCAAACAAAACAGGAGGGATCCTCTTGACTGTAGCCACCATCATGCCAGTAAGTGGTCATCTTTTGACTGAGGCTGAACATGGGCATTACGCTCAATGGGTCAAACTACATGCAGTGGTGATGTCCATTTGGTCCACCCCATCACCATATCTTGCTACATTTCACCAACTCATAGGCTATTGCCAACAGCCTAGTCATCTGGTCAAGAGAAGGGCAACTTAGTGACTCGAATGCTAAAAAAAATCCCCTATGTGGACCAGGCGCGGTGGTTCATGCCTGTAATCCCAACACTTTGGGAGGCCAAGGCAGGTGGATCACCTGAGGTCGGGAGTTCGAGACCAGACTGACAAACGTGGAGGAACCCCATCTCTACTAAAAATACAAAATTAGCCAGGCGTGGTGGTACATGCCTGTAATCCCAACTACTTGGGAGGCTGAGGCAGGAGAATCGCTTCAGCCCGGGGGGTGGAGTGCAAGTTGTAGTGAGCCGAAATTGCGCCACTGCACTCCAGCCTGGGCAACAAGAGTGAAACTCCGTCTCAAAAAAATAAATAAATAAAATAAAATAAATAAAAATCCCCTATGTGGAAACAAGGACTTGCTGCCTGAAAGGGACAAATATATGTCACTCATGTGGACCCTGATGCTACCCTTGAAAGAAATATGTCTTTTTTTGATACTTCATCATATTTCACTCTGCCCAAGGAACATCCTTCACTGCCCAAGCAACATGATAATGGGCAGTCTCTTGTGGAATATAGTGGACTTTCCATGCACCCTGTTATTCACAGGCCAATGGAGCCACTGAACAATGAAACAGCCTACTCATAAAGTCACTGAAGGATATCAAGATGGCCTATTAGTGAGGTGGTACCAACATCCGACTAGGGCATTATGGACCTAAACACTGTACTTTAGCACAAAGGAAACACAGCACTGCAATGCATAGCCCAATCCCTATGATAGCTTGGGAACATCTGAGATCCCAGGAGTGTGTTAGGTGGGAGCACTAACCTGTCAATACACTTTTTCCACAAGGATGTGGCAGCAAAGACCTGGAAGCATAACACCTCCCAAGCTGTGGCCATGGCGGGTAACATGATAAGATGTTAGATATGACATCCAGGACATTTCTGTCATAGCCCACAGGGACAATCTGGTCCTGCTAGTAGTGAACTACCCTAGCATTCCTAATGTCACAGTGTACACCAACAGACCCCAACCCCTGGCTTACATGAGAGGACATAGCATCTGTCACATAAAAGGGTGCTAAAAATGCCATTTTAACTTAACTGTGGCAAAACATCATGATGAAAACTAACATAACCTCAGTGGGCAGGTCCCATTGGTGATGAAGGAAAGAGAATCAACTGCTGCAAGCCTTCTGTGTAGGAGCTTCATGAACAGTTTTGCATGGGAGAAATTGAACTTATGTAACTATACCACTAACGAGATTTAGCTGGCAAACGCCAATGCCTCCCTACCCATGAATGGGGTCACTGAATAGTAAAATGGGGGAAAGGGTGCTATGTGCATCCAAGGGCTACATCATTTTCCATGGGCAGCGTAGGAGTGACCCAAACAGAAGATGGGCAATGTCAGGCCTGGAAAGCGGGCAGACGGTGGGATCCTGTACGTTGGGCATGCTGGGGGATGCCGTTACATATCACTCCTAGAAATGAGATGCACCATAGGGCCAGCAGCCTAAAGCTGTACACCAGACTTACTCAGGACGTACCAAGAGGTTTTACTGACTCTGGGTTTAAGTGCTTTATAAAATCTTTGGTACCATATATAACATTGCCTTGGCAGCCCAGCAGATATCCCTTGGGAAAGTTGTTTTAGACAACTGCTCTAAACCTGTTAGCACAAGTGGGAAGAATACATGCGATTGCCAACACTTCCTGCTGTATCTAGATAAACACCTCAGGTATCGCAGAGACACAAATACAGATCTGGAAGCAGGTCCGAAGGATCCTTCTTTGACCTCTTTAACAACTTCATACCTGGATTACTAGGATCCTGGGCTGAGTCAGTGCTCCAGGCAGGCCTGATCATCCTGCCTGTGGTCCTCCTGGGCACAGTGAAATGTATTCTGGCTATGGCTCAACAATATTGCAATGAGATTATGTCAGTCAGAGTGTTATATCCATCTAAGAAGACAAACCTCCTTCTCCTTCAGCTTCAGAGAAGTCTGTGGGCATAATAAAAGGACTAGTTTTGCTAGAGGGGATACCTAGATTGGAGGATAAACTACAGGACAACTCCTTAGGTGGCATTAGACTAAGCCAGTTCTTCCCTCCCTGGCTTACAGTTCTCAAGAATAACTGTAGAATGTGCTGATAATGCAATATCCCAAGAAAGGGAGGCAATGGTTAGAAGAGCCAGGACTGTTCTATCTGCTCCTCCAGCTGCCCTAAAACATAATCTCAATGCTTCAGCCCAGTGTCTCATGTTACTCTAGGGTATAAACTCAGAGCAGGCTGTTTTCTGGGGTCCCTCAGCTGCTGTGCAAGTTGAGCACGTGCAAATAAAATTCAAACCACCCTAGGCAGCTTTTCTGAGCCTTGGGAGATCAGCTTGCAATGAATCCTAGACTTCTGTTTTCCCTTGTTGCCTATCAATAAGTAATAAATCCATTTCACATAAAATGTTGTGTATGAATGTGTTATGTCTGCTGGCTTCAGACAAGTTGGTAATCTGCACACAATAAACCTGCTTCATAGAGTTTAGGGAGTTAAGCCTGCTTATAGATTTGGAGGGCATCAACATATAGATGATATTTAGAGTTACAGAGCTGGATGAGACCACCTATGGCGTGAGAGTTTATAAAAGATATCAGAGTGCTAGCCTTAGGGCATACTAACATTAAGAGATCTAGAAGAATAAGGGGATACAGAAAAGAAGGATGAAAAAGGAGCAATCAGTGTGTGAAGCTTAAGGACATGACAAGACTAAAGAAAAATGAACCCAAAACAAGGCAGGTCCACATGTTTAGAGCTTTACAAACCTCACCTAAAAAAAAAAAGTAATTGATGAATTGATTTCAGTTCTTGGATGCCACAACACAGACTGCTACAACACGTTCATATCGCTTCAAAATTTTGTCTAAATTTTCCTCCACTGTTTCTTAATTCAACAATGTATTTCTCTGCAAAAATATCTAACAGGGCAGTATAAAGAAATTATTTTCACAAAGTTAATTTTTTTTCAGTGAAAAGGCAAATGTATACCTTCACTGGGACAACAGAATCACCCTCAAAAGAAATGCCATAAGCTCCAAAAACACACCTACTCATCTACCTACATGTGAGACTATATACTTGACTCTTCTGTTACCATGGATGACCTATTCCTAGTTCTCGCGAAGGCGACCTCCTCTATACACTAGTTCCTATCCTACTTGCAGCTACTAAGGGGCCCTATTTTAACAACTCTCCCATCTCTCTCTCCTGAATCACAAATGACGACTTTTCTACTGGATCTTTTCTGTCAATATAGAATTTATTTATCCCATGTCAAATCAAGCCAAAAACTCTCTTCTGTATTACCCTCCAGTTACCTCCCTATTTATCCCTCTTTCAGAAAACTTCTCAAAAAGTTATCTATATTCACTTTTCTTTTTTCTGCCTTCATTCTGTGAGAGTATGAACACAATCTAATCAGGTACTCATGGCCACTTCTCCTTGAAACATCTTTTTTACCTGGACTCCAGGACAATTTACTGGCCTAATTTTCCTCACACTACTCAATCTCTTTTGAATGTTGAACTATCCTAACATTCAAACGTTGAAAGTATCCCAGGGCTCCAACCTTCTTATATGAACTTACAGCCTTGATCATTTTATCTAGTCTCATGGATTTAAATAACACCTATACATTGATGATGCCTCCAAATCTGTATTTTTGCCTGGATTCAATATTCATATAGTTAAGTACCTAATCAACATCACTACTCAAGATGTCTAACAGGCTCCTCAAGCCTATTATATTCATACTGTATTTCTTAAGCTTATCAAACCCGTTCTTCCTATTCTCCACTTACTTCAGTGGCTATCCAACTTAAAATCCCAAATTGTACTCTTTTTCCCCTACACTCCTAATCCCCTTCCCTGCTTTTTCTCCACATCAGTTATCACTCTATAACATGTTACATGTTTTATTTATTTTCTTTATTATCATTTCCCCCAATGGAATGAAGGTCCACAAGGCAAGGATTTTTGACCATTTGGTCCAGTTGTAACCACAGCCCAAACAACTGTACTTAGCTTATAGAAGACACTCACTAAATATTCATGGAATAGATAAATGTACACTAATGAGACTATATACTTGTCTACAAGTGGCACTAGTGGCACATTAAGCTCACTTACCTCAACCATATTTTTTTCCAGCTCTTTGCGTTTGCTTTCCTCACATGCCAGATTTTTCTTCTTGAGATCAAATGCGCTTTGAGATTTAGTATTAACTCGCTGAGCCTCTGCAAGAGCATCTTCTAAAGATCGAAGTATACCTCCAGTTTCCTATAACAAAATGCAGTCAATTCAATCACTTATGTAAAATTTGTTCACGCTGTCATTTTATTGTATGAGTTCTGTATCAAACACTTTTTTATAAGTTATTTCATTATCTTACTATAAGATTAACAAATCAATACGGAAGACAATGCCCAATGAATCCTAAATAGTTACTATATATAATTTAGTACGTTTTTCACAGAGTATATTATCGATTCTTATACATATGTTCAGACCTTATCTTTTCTTTTTTCCAATTCTTCTATTTCATGATTAAGTGCTTTTATTTTTTTATCATTCTCAGACAATTCTTCCTGAAGCTTTATAACTTTATCTTGCATTTCTTTTAATTCCTCAGCTGAGCGTACTTTGGTATCTTCAGCCAGCAAAAACTGATAAGCAATATATAAACGACTCAAATGTTCTATTTCTCTCATTACTTTTTGGTACTCCAAGTAGGACGATCTTTCCTGAAAGAGAAATCACAAAAAAAGAATAACTCAAAATTGTATTAAAAAAAAAATTCAATTATGCAAGATGAAACAAATTTCTCATTACATAATAGATTTTGTCCTGTATTAAACAATTATAGCATTTTAAATTGTAGGAAACTTTACGTAACATCAGAAGTCAGGACTTTTAGATAGCATTCTACCATCTCTAGTGAATCTTATTTGGCTATTTCTTCTAACACACACTTGGGTAGTTGAGCTTAACAAAGAAATATGGACATAAGGTTCATAAGCTTACACACCCACCATGTTACACTATTACATGGATTCTGTAGTAGTAGTATCAAGATGCCTACTCTAATATACTTTGAAGCACTACTACAAGCACTCGCTTACATCATTACTAAACACGACTCCCATAAGGACCTACTGGGACCAGACAAAGTAATAACTAAAATCCTTAATTTATACATAAAAAACAAATTCAGAATGATTAAATGATCTGTCCATGTTGTTAGATTTAGAAAGCAATTGTGGCAAAATGAAGTCTAGGACCTAAGTTTAAATTCCTGATCTAGTGTTTTCTACTAAATCATACATACAAAAAGGGTATCTTCAAGATTACAATTTTTCCAGTAAAATTTATACTACTATATGGATTCACAAGACAGCTCTGAGTAGTACCAAATTTCAATGAGCATTTAATAAATTCCTAAAAGGAGATAGCTTTAAAAACGTCGTTTGGCTGGGCACAGTGGCTCACTCCTGTAATCCCAGCACTTTGCGAGGCCGAGGCAGGTGGATCACTTGAGCCCAGGAGTTCAAGACCAGCCTGAGAAACAATGAGAAACCCTGTCTCTACAAAAAAATAAACTAGCAGGGTGTGGTGGCATGCACCTGTAGTCCCAGCTACTCAGAAGGCTAAGGTGGGAGGATCCCTTGAGACCGGGAGGTGGAGGCTGCAGTGAGCTGTGATGACACCACTGCACTCCAGCCTGGGCGACAGTGAGACTAGTCTCAAGAAAAAGAAAACGTAGCTCATAAATGCATTTTTTGATGACATATTGTGCCATGTCTTTTGACAGTCAGGAGCTGCAAAGATTACAGAGACAATCCAATCCTCTGTTTCAATACCTTTTGCTTACAAAATACCTTGATAGCAATAATTATAGTGATAGCCCCTGTTATCCTGGAAATTGTTCTCAATGAGGGTGTCTAAGAGTGCCTTATCTTTAAGAAATGTTGTTCCAGTCAATGCTAACTAACTAGGAAAATCCAGACTTGCTTAGCTTAAATAAAGTATTAAAATTCGGCATACCATTTTCTGAAACTATAAAAATTACTCTCCAATATCCTATGACTTAGCAGATAAGTGCATATCCTCTGTAAGCAGAACGCTGAGTTATGGAGTGCCAACTCTAATTCCTTATCTCATCGCAGGAAAAAAACCCCCAAGAAATAGTATCACTATGTGTATGATTTTGGATACATTGCTGACTTTGAAAGACATTCTAATAGATTATCCTCACATATACAGAATATACCTCTTTTAATTTTTGAATGGTTGGAGTAATCTCTTCTTCAAGTATCTGGAAAATAAAGAAAAATCAGTATTTTCGCATGTAAAGTATCATTAAAATTTATTTGAAAGAGAAGTAGCAGGGATGACTATGGAAAACTGAACCAAGGAAAAAAATTTTTCCCTCTTTACAGCAAAAACTCTACATGCAAAATTACATTCTTCTCCGAAAATATTTTATATGAATTAAATTACCGTCTTAATTTCTTTCAGCTTAGCCTCCTTTTTTTCTATAGTTTTCTGTGCAGCTATTTTTTTGTATTCATACATCCTGGTTCCAGCTGCTTCTTCTATCATGGATAAAATCTGGAATGACAATTTTATTAATGTTTAGTATCCAAGACAATGTGTCCAACTGGAATTTACATTAAATATATCATTTTTGCCTTGACCTCACTAAACATCTTACCAAAAGTTGGCCCAAATGAACCATATAGGTTAAATATAGTAATTTCACACAAACCTTTTCCTGTAGGCTTTTTCTGTAGGAATGAATTCTGACATGAAACACCAGCTAAGCAAGACTCCTTTATACAATCAAAATCAATTTTAATATTTGGGCATAGTGCCAAATATTACACAAATATACAACTGTCTTTACTAATCATTCCCAAATAATGTCTCCAAAAATTTTAATAGAATATTTAAAAATTGTCTGAAAGATTAAAGTAATATCTATACCAACTATTTTTAATGTCCATAAATAGTACTCTTACCTCTGGAGGTTTCATATTCAATACTTTTGTAATTCGGCCCTGAAAATAAAATAGCAAACTTACTAAGATAACAAATTACAGAAAATGTTTATCTGTACTGCCATTCATGTTTATCTAGACTGAAGCTGTTGTATCTCAATATACCAATCTTTGGGGGGGTCTTTCCTCTATAATTCTTCTATGATTCTAGAATTTTGGAACTTTGCTATTCACTTTCTCACCAGTGATACAAATTATGGAAGTTATGAAATGATACAAATGAAATAATTCATTAAATGATACAAAGTTAACAAGGATCATGTTTCTGAGACAGTTAACATTAAGTAGAAATATTCAAATTTAAAACAGGTAAATATAAAAAGAAATTTCAGCATAATTAAAAAACTTTTAACATTTCTTTGAATGATAACCCTCCAGGATAATTTCACAAAACAGATGACATACTTCTAGGCCTCAAACAAAATACAATATTTTACATCAATGCCAGAAAACCATTAAATTTATTCATTACCAAAAACAAATAAAGCAAAACACCTGCACACCCAGGTCTCAGAGAATTGTATTACTAGAATGTAGATTCATTTAAAGTAAAGTTTCAACTATGAAGGTGTGTAGTGGAAATATTTTTATTTTGGTCCCACTGAGATGCTCCCATCGACTTTACTATAATTCTCTCAAACGGCAGCTGGATGGGTCAAATGAAGTAATGTAAATGTAAGATAAAATCAGCCTTTACTCCTCATTTGTGTGAGTCTCTAAGAAAATTACTCAAGCTTTTATACTTGAAATATTAAGATGCATTAATCCAATAATTTAAAAGGATATATTATGGCTTTTTTTTTTTTACAGTTAACATGTATTGTTCTTTTAGTGACAAAACAAAAAGTCAACAAAAATTACTTCTAAACATTCTAGAGGAGTCAAAGGTCTATAATCCAGTAGAATATATCAGTGCAAGTAACTAAACCATATTTCTAAACAGATGGCCGGACACAGCACAATAGTAAATAAAAAGTATAAAATCCAAAACATAAAGTACTTCTATTTTAATTGCTTAAAAGTAAAAAATGTCGAAACTATTACGAAAGTGATATAAAGACCTCAAACGAAATACCTGCATGATGAGAAAGTGAGGGTTGTTAACATTAAGGCCAACAGAACAGAAGAGATCCTGTACTCTGGTGTTGTTGGCATTGACTCCATTGATTAAATATTTATTTCTACCACCAATAACCACCTATAAAAGAAAGCAATTTTTTAAATATTAATGTACATGCACACCTTGTGCTAGGATAAACTAAGTATATTAGCTTACGTTTATTTGTTCTGTCTGACTAGCAGTAAACAAAACCAATTCTGCATAAATAGTGGAACAAGTATGACATGGTCAAAAACGCTAACTTGAGTCAGGACAGCTAGTATCTAATGCAAGTACTTTTGGTAACTAGTTATGTAATTACACACAAGCCTCTTACCCTGGCCTGCACCAGACTAGGTCTCCGAGGTAACTTCTAGCTTTATGTTTCCAAGTATATGTAAAACACACTTTCCTAGTTACTTTCTTTCTGTAATTTTTCTAGAGGCTTTCTCTACTTTTCAACAGGAATAGATGTCAGACAAAGTAGCTTAGTATCAATTCTTGACAAGATTCAAAAAGCTATTAATAAAGACATGATTTATGACCATTTAAAAGAAAGGGTAATCATGGAGCTTCAGTATGGTTTCATTAAGTCATCCCAGACACCATACTCTACTATCACACTTAAATTGTCATTTATTGGGTATGATTGTCTCATCTACCAGATTGAAGTCCTTAAAGACAAGCTCTGTTTCTCATTCTTCTAACTGTACATCCCAGTACATTCAAGAACACCCAATATACATCAACTATTTAATAAATATTGAATAAATGTTAGTTCATTTCTTTTCCTGACAGGACTACTAGGTTGGTAGTTCATATATTAATGTATTTGAAGACCCTTCTCTGACAAAAATTTTATAATTTTGGTGAAGATACAAGTTTATGGCCTGAATGAGGACAGGAACAATTAGGTAGATTATTAGTAAGAGACTTAGTGACAGTTCCTAAAGGATAAATATTTGATGGATGCCTAATGACATGGAACAGGATTCTGTCCTAACGTGGCCTACGCTTCTTTTTTTTTTTTTTTTTTCAACCAGAGGCTTCCATTAAAATAGAGGAGAAAATCTGTAAGTGATAAATGATAAGATGGACAGTAAATAGGAGTTGACAACATTTTTAAAAACAAAATCTTGGGCCAGGCGCCGTGGCTCACACCTGTAATCCTAGCACTTTGGGAGGCCAAGGCGGGCAGATCATGAGGTCAGGAGATTGAGACCACCCTGGCCAACATAGCGAAATCCCGTCTCTACTAAAAATACAAAAAACAAAAAAAAATTAGCCGGGTGTGGTGGTGGGCACCTGTAGTCCCAGCTACTCAGGAGGCTGAGGCAGAAGAATCTCTTGAACCCGGGAGATGGAGACCAGCCTGGGTAACAGAGCGAGACTCCGTCTCAGGAAAAAAAAAAAAAAAAAAAAAAACCTTGACAAGCTGAAAACACTGCCTGACTATATTAATAACACACCTAAAAAAAAATTGAGTGGTTTCAAGTAAATCTAATATGAATCCACAATGTATTATGAACACCCCAATGCTCTACTGGGAAAAATAAAAGTAGAATATCTAAAATGAAAGAATAACTCCAACTAGACCAATTTTGGTACACCCAATCTAAGGTGCCATTAAAAGAAAGAAAGATAGATGAATGCAGGAGCAGGGAGGGAAACTGGAGCATACTTGGTATAATCAGGCAAGTGAAGGAACTAGGAACAAACATCAAGTGAAAGACCTGGCAAGATTTCACTTAGAACTAAAACACATATACTTGCACATCACTTAAACACTGAAGTAGGGAATAAGTTAGATTTGCTCTTGGTGCTCTCAAGAGGACTAGGATTAATGAATAAAATTTGAAGACAGCAGACTCTGACAAAACTTATAGCTGTTAACTTTCTAATAAGACCTGTCCAAAAACAGAATGGGTTATCTCAGAAGATTGAAAGATCTCAAGTACACAGGTGTTCAAGAACAACCAAAGAAGATTCAAATATGGTTTAAGATTTCAGCATAGCTGAGTGCTTATACTGGATGAACAACTTTTCAGCTGTCTTTCAATCCTCTTAGTGATAGAATGTGCATGATCAAGATTTTAATATAAGGAAGACATTAAGGAATCTAGTCAGAATTTAAGGCACCAATTTTGCTCATGAACTTTCTCTAGCACGTTTTGCAAAGGCATAGGGCCAAAAACCACATCAGACATAAAAGGTCTTAAGATACCCAAAGGTTTAATTGCCACTCACCTGCCTTGTTACTGTGATTTCATCATGAACCTCAAATCCTAAAGGACTTTGCTTTTTGTCAGAATTATCAAAAGTGATTGACACAGAGGCTTTGGTAATACCAGCCTGCCCATTTTTGTAAACTAAATCTTGTAAATTAGAAGCCCGAACCTAAAATAAAATATGAAAAGTGTAACAATTACAAAACTCCCTACCGTACAAAGCAGCACTAAAAATGGGTCCCTTGCTGTTGGAAAACCCACCAACGTAGTGTCCATTAAGTAGACAAGGTTAGGCAGCTGCATCCTCTGGCAAGAAAAACAAGGAAAATAGGCAACAACCTGCAATGGACACTTTTCTCTACAGAACCTTTTCAACCCTGAATTGAATTGTTTCCTATTCATTTTTTAATAAAAAGTTACTTTGCAAGATATAAGGAAATACTGTCCCAAAGATTTTCACTAGTCATTCAATCCATTAATAGGATTTGAAAAGGCATCATTACACAGGGTTGAAAATACTCTGGAATGAGACTGCTTTACAGTCAGAATGCCTGAGTTTTGAGGCACTGTTACTTCTAAACATCTCTAAGTTTCTATTTTCTCATCTAAAGGAGTAATATTACTTTCCTTAAAAGGTTGCAGTGAGGTGTAATTTACAAAAAGTATAAAAACACAAATGAAGAGAATATCGGGACGTCTCCAAAGTTCAGTGAGGATTCTCCTGCCAACTTAAATTCAAATAAATCAGAAAGTTTACACTTTACCTGAGACAGGTTGGAGATGCCCAGCAAAAAGCAGATGGAGTCCAATATGTTGGATTTCCCACTACCATTTAAGCCAGTGATAGCATTGAAGAGGGGGTCAAAACCATTGACTTCGGTCCTCTGAGCATAGGACTTGAATCCCTCTAGAATAATTGACTTAATATGCATTTTCGATACTGTCTTGGGTCAGCAAACCTCTGACAGGAATCAAACAGGCCACAAACCAGTTCTGTACGAAACAGAAATACCACCACCTAAGTGGAATGTAAACCTGGAATCATAATGAACACGAGGCAAAAACAGCAACGATAGGGTGATAGAAATAAAACAGCCACTTGACAAACTATCTTGTCTGATGTAAAGACATCGTTCATCTACTCAAAAATATACCAGAGTTAGCCACTATCTGGAAATTAAACCATTCAACTGGGAAGTCTTAACTATTTCTTCTACCCGTTTTTCCAGGCTTGCCTTCTACTTTTATCATACTCTACCTAAACAAAGACTATGGATTATTACATATCCCATTATCTTTGCCTATAATGTGCTTTTCTCTGATACTGACATAGCTTACTCTCTACTGCACTCACGTCTTTGCTCAAATGTCACCTTACTGGAGTCCTCCCTGACCTCCCTATGTCACCTCTCCACAATCCTTCACTCGGCTTTCTTTTTCCTTCATGGTACTTAAAGCTGATATTAGACGGTCATTACTTGTCTGTAAGTTCCCGCAGTGTCTTCACCTACGTCCGTCATTGCATCCCCGAATTGTGCTTGACTCCGGGAGGAGGGGAAGTCATTTAAGTATTTACTAGAGATGAGATGTATCTCATATTCTCCAACTTCTTGCTTTTACTCAGGCTTTTACCTCGCTTCTCCAGGCCTGTCTACACCTCTTCGCCCTACTCCAAGGTCGAACAGAAGCTAGCCTTTATTTCTAAGGATCACCTAAGGTCCCTCTGCCACTGGTCCCCCTCCCTACAGCCCCCGCGCCCCGCGCCCCGCCTCCCGCCTCCCGCCTCCCGCCAGGAAGTCTGGCCCGGCCCAACCGGCCGTGCTCACGCACACGCCTCACCGCTGCCTCAGGCCAGGGGCTTGACGCACCCCAAAAGCTCCTCCGGGTCACAAAGGCAGGGAACAGAACAACTCTCTAGCCGGGGCCGCTACAAAGCGAACTTCACCATAGCGGCTACAACACCTGCCACACCGCTCTCAACACCCGCGCCGGAACTATTTATTCCTTTGAATTTCGGCGCGAGCAAAGGACCCCACCTCCATTGCTTATTTCCTGTGCTGGTGCCTAGGAGCTGCCTGTCTTTAGGGTTCAATTTTTCCCCTACACTCGAAGGATTAAAGCCGCAGGGCAATAGAATGAGAGTCTCGATAATGGTAGCTCCGGGGACTCCCCGGCAGGGGCCTGGGCACTACAGGAGCAGATAGTGTATGTTCACACCGGCGTCCGGCACTCTATGGTCAGCCCCACACCTCGGCCCCGGGTCCTCGCGCTTCGCCAGCCCCGCCCCGCCTCGGTCCCTCTAGTTCGCGTTAGGCACACTGCAGACTCCGCCTTCTCCAGTCTGCGGTGCTGGCTGTGGCTTACTTTTCTCTCCTCAAAGCGACAGTTAGGAAGTGGAGAGGCATTCTATGAGTGTTCTCGTCGGTTCTGTTTTGGAAGCTTCAGAATCTTCTCGGGTTGGCTCAGATTGCTGCAAAATAAAAGCTGTACTTCTTGGGGCCAGAGAGGCACCGTCCTTCGGGGGACTCTGGCCCGCGTCCTGGCTCCGCCCCGTACTGGCCTCGGACCTCGGGGAGCGTTTTTATCTGAAGTTTCCACGTCGGAAAGGGATCGTAGTCTACCGAGAGCTGTTCCGAGCCCAGAGGAGAAATTGTGTGGTGCTAAATAGCTATTCATCTCCCTTATACCGGAAAGCGTTGTAATGATAAGCCGACCTAACCTGTTGGGGATTTTTTCTGGAAACCTTTTAAGACAGTTCATGTTATTGAGTTCTGAATATTAGGCTATATTGCAAGGGGCTTTTTAAAATCCACGTAGCAACCCTATGAAATCAGAAATTGCCCTCGTTTTACAAATGAGTTAAATGAGACCAAGTAAAAGGTTAAACAGCTTGTCTAGTAAGCTGGGATTTGTTCCCAGGCGGTCTAGCTCCAGATTGCATGCTTTTAAATACTAGGCTTCATGCATAGAATCTAGTATTATTAGCCGATCCTATTATTAGTATGTATTGTTCTTTAGGAAGAAAAAACGTGTCAGGATTGCTCACGTTTCCAAGCACGTTGATACTTAAGAGTTAGGAAGGGCTTAACTCCGAATGGGTATGGTGTTACCCTAAGTGAGGTTCAAAAAGATGGTGTGGGCAACAATGCTATTTTGGAATGGCTTGATCCTTTTGGGCTTCCATAACAAAATATCCTAGACTGGGTAGTTTATGAACCACAGAAGTTTATTCTTCACATTTCTGAAGGCTGGAATGTCACAGAATAAGGTGTGTCTAGGGAGGGGTGCTTTCTCTTTAGTGGATAGCACCTTCTGGCTCTGTCCTCGCATGGTGGAGAGGCAGAGGCCCTCGCTTGGGCCTATTTTATAAGGACCTTAATCCCATTCCTCACTTCCCAAGATGCCACTTGCTAAAACCGTCAGTTCGGGAGTTAGGATTTCAAAATGTGCATTTTGAGGGACACATTTAGACCATAGCGTAGGTCATGTTTTTAAAGTTGCTTTCTTGGCCCTGGAATGGCAATGCAGTCATCTGAATTGGTCTTAACCTACCAGGAATGGGCTTATATTTTGAAAATATTTCTCGATAAGGGAGTAAAATAAGTTGTATGGGTTTTTTGTTTAAGAAAGGATTCCTTTGTTTACTCTGGTATGCTTATCCACTTCTGTGATGTCAACCATGGGTAGTGACCTAACATTAATTTAATTCAACAGATATCTTTGTCTGCCTTGATTCCTGCATCCCCTGGGCTCCACAGCTATTCACTTGTATTGATTCTGTTAACTCTTACACATTAACTTTGAGCTGTGTCTCCTTCCTTTTATCATTTTGTGAGTAAAGAATTTTAATTTGCCAACAAATCCTAATGTGGACTTTGTCACGTTGTGAAATAAAGTGATTTTTTGGTATGGAAATATGTGTTAAGACAGACTGTTAGTCTTTGCACTTTAACAACTAGCTGATACACTTACGTCACATGGATGAAAACATACACAAGTGCACTGTTGTTGGATAAGGACTCCTGGGTGGTTAGAAGAATGTGCAGATCTAACTACTCCCATTAAGACCATTGATTAAAATGAAAAATGCTTATAAAGGTGGAGATCTCTCAGTTTTAGTCTTATTGCGTGCCAGAAGCACTAAGGAATTGCTGCTAAATATAAGACAAATGGACTTGAGGAAATCACTGATGACTAACTTGAAACTCTGCCTCCTGAGATCACACAGGTGAGTGGAAAAAACCAAGGCACAAAGCCAGTGAAGCCCCCTAATTTGGAGATGTGAGGGGTAGAAACAGAGAGTATAGGGTAGATGCAGTGTACAGAAAACACTGTTCTTGCTTCATCACCATGGATTAAAATCGTTTGAAAGCTTCAACGCTAGCGGGCAGTGTTTCAAGCAGAAATCTGGCAGCTAGTGGAGTCTGAGTCCTTATATGGAAGGCATCATCAGTACCAGCAAGGACACACATACAGCCACAAAGCAAGACCTAGGAGAAATATTTGGTGCTCTACTCTCCTAGGGAACTGGAAGGAACCTGCTCTCTCCTGGGTATACTTTTCTAATTTTAGAGTGCTAAAGAAGCTCTTCTCACAGGGACCCGAGTGAATCCTTTCTCCTTGGAACAAAGGACAAGAAAAAAAGAAAGGACTTTACCGCAGAAGTAAGGAAGACTCATTTTGTTGAGAGATTATTTTTAGGTTCAAGGAAATGAATTGATAATGACAGGAAGTTTATATTTTTACATTGGATTGACTAGCAGCACTTTTATTTTTTCAGAGAAGGAGTCTCACTCTGTCTCAGGCTGGAGGGCAGTGGCCTGGCAGCACTTTTTGAATACACTCGTGCACCACATAATATTTCAATGTCTGATTACATTATGTGACTGTGGTCCCTTAAGATTATAATGGATAATTCCTGTTGCTTAGTGATGTTGTAACATCGTAGTGCAACATACTACCCTTTCTGTTTAGAAACACAAACACAACATTGTGTTATAGTTACCTACATTATTCAGTACAGTAATATGCTATAAAAGTTTGTAGTCTAGAATCATAAGGCTATAATATGTAGGTTTGTGTTAAGTATACTTCATGATGTTTGCACAACAATGAAATTGCCTAATGAGGCGTTTCTCAGAACGTATCTCGTCGTTAGGCAACGCATGACTGTATTTTATTTCTAACGCCATATTATTTGAACTGTGGGTTCACCGAATATAACCTGTTTGACAAACTTGCAAAGAAACACAGCTAAGTATAATTTAAAATGAGGAATAGAAAAGGAGGTTATTATATTCATTCACCCAGTGGGACTGGTTAGACCCATTCATTTTAATGTCAGTGACAATATTGTTTTCTAAAATACATGTTCTGTTTGGTTCTTTGTGAATTCTGCCTCTTCTTTCATTATGATTTCTATTATTTTGTCCTTTTAATCAAGTTATATGTCTTTATTTTATCTTCTTTTCTGTTAGTTCTGTTATTTTTAGCTTTTCAGTTCCTAACTCTTGTTTACGACCTCCACTGACTCTTACTCAGTGATTTATTTCCTCATGTGGTGCTCTTCTTCAGTGGGATGGTTTTGTTTATGGGACTCTCTTACACCCTTAGTTGCAAAAGAGTCCCTTTAGACAATTATGCATTTGCTTCTGCCAGCATACCGTAGCTCTTAAAGATCTGAAGCATTTTCAAATGATAATTTCTCAGTTTGTGGCTCCTGAATTATGCAAATATTGTATATTTAGATCTGTTGCAGGGCTGCAGTTTTGATTTCTCATAGGTACCTTATGTTTTTTTTTTCCCACCCTATCCAAAGCCCCAAAGAACAAACTTCTTTATCGCTTCCCCAAACTAGTAGATTGCCTTTTTCCAGTTCCGGTAGCTGGCTATTCCTAAGGCTCCAGGTTTTACATAAGGGCTTAGTTCCAGCTCACCTGCCTCATCAAAGCTCAGCCTTGTGCTTGGACATTAAAACTCAACTACTGGCTCCTGAGGCATATAGCCAAGTATAAAATTTTGGAGGGCTACCGCAGTATCTGTTCTGCTTTCTGCTCTTCAATTTTTAAAATTTATTTCAGGCACTGAGAATTTCCTTTTTGCTGTTTTTTGTTTTTACGGTTGTATATGGTTTATAGAACAATAATTATATTTTATCCATTATTTCTATGAGTTTATAAAGGAAAGCTCAGTCGACCATGTTGGAGGAGGTCTTCTCATTTACTTTTCGTGAAGAACATCAGTGATCTTTGTTTTGCTCCTCCTGAGCCTTCCTTACAGAGCTCACATTCTCTATTCAAAGTCACTTTTCCTAAAAACTAGTAATTACTTCTCTAAAGAAGTCTGGTACTAGGTCTTAAAAAAGTATTTTCAGCCAGGCACGGTGGCTCATGCCTGTAATCCCAGCACTTTGGGAGGCCAAGGTGGGCAGATCAGGAGGTCAGGAGATGGAGAATATCCTGGTTCCAACATGGCGAAACCCCGTCTACTAAAATACAAAAATTAGCTGGGTGTGGTGATGCATGCCTGTAATCCCAGCTACTCAGAAGGCTGAGGCACGAGAATCGCTTGAACCCAGGAGGCGGACACAAGTTGTTGTGAGCCTAGATCGCGCCACTGCACTCCAGCCTGGTGACAGAGCTTTTTCAAAAAAAAAATTTTCATGTACTACTCATGAAGTAAGTTCTATTCTTACTTGTTTTATATTCGTTTCTTTCTGTTTTTCCAGCTATCCTTGGCTTTTATCACTTGCATGCTGGTTAATAGCCAGAGCTACCTAGCTCACCTCTCATCTGCTTTGTCATACCCCTTCTTTTATGGGGATAATTATTGACTTCTCTTCCTCAAATATTATTCTCATTTCATAGTTCTCCTTGGCATGGTGGTCCATTGTTACTCTTTATTTCAAATCCACACACATCTGCCAGATTCTCCTCCAACTGGTTCCTTTTTATTACCAAACTCAATTCTTACTAGATTCAAAGAGAGTCTTCACTCTCAGATTTTTTGTTTTACAAGATTTGCTTCTGCAGTTAACATCTCCACTACCTCTTACACCACTCTGCAGTCCTCTACAGTCAACAAATATATCCTAACTTAATCTTCTACTTCAACAAGACTCTGCCCTCTCTAAAGTTTTACTATATATATGTATATGTTTCTATATAAAAATGGTACCTCTTCCCTCTATATAAACCTTTGGTGAAAATTACACACAAAGTTAATTCTAACCTCTTTAAGGTGGCCTGGCTGACCTTTCATTGTCTGTTCCCAACCTACTTTCTCAGATTCATCTGCTACTTTCTTCCTTAGATTACCATGTCTTTTTTTTTTTTTTAACTGTTGTGAACTTATGCAACAACCAATGACAAAAGAAAGTGCTCCCTAACTTTGTTGGTGGATAGATGTATCAGTGGATTCAATAGGCATTTATAGAATGCCTGCATTGTGCCAAGAATTGTGTTATGTGCTGGGATACAAAGATGAATAAGATGTCTGCCTGTCTCCAAGGAATCCATAGTTGAGTGGAGAAGACTTGTATAAAGACATTAACCAGGAGAAATGAAGAGTGAAAGGCAGTCATCTAAATAGAGTAGATTGCACAGTCAATGGCACAGAAGATAAATGTAATGTATGATGCAAGAAGTAGCAAGATTTAGTATGAGATCCACAGAAGGCAGGTTATGGAACATTTTATGCACCATCTTTTCGTCATTCCTGAAGCATTAGTGTTCACTTCTCCATCTTCCTTTGCACATGGTGAACTTGAAATGCCCTTTGACTCTTCACTTCTCCCCCTTGTGTATTTCTATGTGTATTTAAACCCCAAATCTGATCCATTTCTCGAGTTACTTGCAACCTCTTCCATAATCCCTTAACCCTTTATCCACACTTTTCTTCTGACCTCCATTCTCATTGTGACATACCTTTGTGATACATATTGGTGCTTGTCACATAGTAGATATTTAATAAATATTGGTTCAATATGAATAAGTTCATGGGGTTCATTTGCTGCTCACTCATTAAGGTGCCAGAAAAGAATAGTTTAAAAAAGAAAAAAATACTTGAAAATATACAATATATTTCACAAAATAGTATTTTAAGGTTCAGTGAGTTCATTGTAGTGATCATTTCTCAATGATCTAATATTGAAAACTTAAAAAAAAATCCCTATTATCAACATATTCTATTTGTGTAATATCATCAGTGACCACTGTGATAGTAGGCTGAGGAATGTACCATGAAATATTTATGCCAGCTGTATGCTTCAGAGGGCTCTCGGCACCATATTCTTTACCTCTGGTTGCAATTTTTTTTTTGCCTGTAAAGTAAAAACAAGCTTCTATGCTTTATGAACGGCTGCAGTTTTGGGTTGAAAGACTCTAATTCAGATACCACTTTCTTAGTTGCTGTCGAGGTATAATTACCAACCCTCCTTTGTTTTATGAATTATACAGACTCCTGTTACATGTATTTATTTATATGTTTGTCACCCACTGTGAGCACTTTGATGTCAGTGGTCTTGCCTTGTAAGTGTCTATAAACCCAGCATCCAGTTCAATTTTGGAGACAGAGTTGTGCTCCATAAGTGTTAATTGAAGGGATGAGCGACTACATGAACATACAAAGATTATAAAGATGGTCATTCTCTCCAAACCAGAAACTATTGTTTTCCGGATTTTTCAGATGAAAGTTTGTTGTTGTTTTGTTGTTATTTTTACCCATATTTAAGTTCCTAGGTGATTACATGCATACTCCATCAAACATTAGTGTGCATAGAAACTCAGGAATTACCTTGATCACTATCTCTCTTCCCTTTCCCATGCTGGCCTTATCTTCAAATATTGACTTCCATTCCCACCTCTATCCCATTACAGGTAGGTGGGAAATGGGGAATTCATAGACTTCTGTGCATTCTATTTTGGTCTCCCTACTCCCTATAGTCCATTCTCTCCAAACTCCACCCCCACTCATAAGAGTGTGGTTTTGGTTCGTCTTTGGTTCCTGAGGGTCTTCAGACCATGATAATGTGTGGCATCGATACATTTCTGAGAATTAGAGGATGTGTTTTTAAATAACAGCATTTGTAGGAAATCCACAGTGGAGTTCAGGTGAGGCTTTAGCAATCCAAATCATGTTCTCTTTATGTCCCTTGTCATTAGATGATGAAGATCATGTCTCCAAGTCTTTTCTGCCGTTGCCAGTATTCTCTCCCAATCTCCTGTGGGCAACTTCTTCGGGAAAACACTCATGCAATTTCATAAGGACAAGCGAAAATGTAAGGCATGGAATGGTCTAGGTACATACGTATTAAAAACATCTTTCTGTCCTTATGCTAATAAAAGAAAGATATTTTTAAAATAAACCAGTTTACATTAATGTCACTATGTTAAAATATAAAGCAAAGCAGTTCATTTCTTTGCTGCTACATGTCTAAAATATTTCTATTGCAACTGGGAACCATTGTTCTACATTTGTGTAAATGAGTATCCATTCAGATGACTTTACAAAAACAAAAGTTGTTTGTGCCTGAAAGTTTAATCCCTCACGTTTTAAGAGAAAGAAAACGCTTGCAATTTTTAAACAACAGTTTTCCCCATTGTTGCCTTTCAAGGATTTAA
Organism: Homo sapiens; assembly: GCF_000001405.40. Lineage (NCBI taxonomy): Eukaryota > Metazoa > Chordata > Mammalia > Primates > Hominidae > Homo > Homo sapiens. The sequence goes on along the minus strand of NC_000009.12, from coordinate 104,086,696 downwards.
ATAATCTTTTATTTCAGACTTAGCTTGAATTATTTAAAATGATTATTAGAAAGTAATTTTATTGCTTAGAATATTGATTTATACTTGTGCTGTACTTAGTTCCATACACATTTCCTAAGTTACTTCATGTAATACATGTAATTTCCTTTTCATAGATGAAGAAGCTGGATCTTGGAACTAGGCTTTGATCACAGAGCGGAGCTGAGATGAAAGTCCATCCACTCATTCAACAAATAATTGAGTACTTACAAAAATTTCTGCTGTATGGAGCTTATATAGTAGTGAATATCAATTCTTATTTTATGGATTATAAAACAGAACTTTTTGCAACAATTTTACACTACCCTAGGGGTACCTATGAGTCTTCATGCCTCAAGTAATTGTCCTGTCCATGTGACTATGGAAGCCCTGAAATCTTTGAAACCCCAGATGACCCATTTCACCAGACGCTTGGACATTCTCCGTCGAGTTTGGATTTATAGTGGGTACCCAGATTTAGGTCAAGGACATAAAATCTGAACCACTTTAGGCACTGCTCATAAGGAGTAAATTCCTAGTGAAAAAGCAATGTCCCTCAGGAATGATTGCTATAGCAGGCTAAAAGGTAGATTTATAAATGTTTATAAAAAGCAGATTGGATTTAGCAGAGGTAGCAGTGATGACCAGGAGCAATAGGAGGAAATGTTCTTAATAGTGCTGTTTGGTGGCATCTTCTTTTTATACAAAGAAGTCTTGCAAGCATTTCTACTTGAATGACTAATTTGGAGTAATTTTTAGTTTCTGTATTTTTATTAGTTAATAGGATCTAGGAATATAATAACCTGGTGAGAATTTCTTCGTGAATGGCAATCAAATTTGTCTTATTCATGAAACTCATAAATAAGCTATAATCCAGCATTTTATAACTAGGGAAAATAAAACTGGGGTCCTGCTGTTTAAGAGGCTAAGGCAATTTAACAGAACACTGGGGGATTTATAGTAGATTTATGATGAAGATACATTCTAACTGGAAGCTTAATTGTGATTTAAATTATAGGTCAAGCTGAGCAATGTGTTTTCTTTTTAGGGGGAAATCTTTAGAGAGTTAGAGTGTGCTTGTTTAAAGAGGAAACAGACCAAATGAGAAAACAGATTGCATTTTCTGTTTTTCTTTTAAAATTTCAAGCTGCTTTAAGTCAAATTGCCCCTGAGTTCCTGATGATGGCTGTGGTGAAATTGCCTTGTTTTACTTTCTTGCCTTCTTTTCCAGAGCAGTTATTTTACCTGAAAATAACAAAAAGATATAGGCAGCATATCAGCCAGAAAACTAATATGGAAACCAGAGATAAAGTATACTCAACCTGCCTAGAATTGTGACATCCTATAATTTTAGGCTGAGTTGTATAAAATTAGCAAGTAATATGGATGAAAGGGCCTTTGAAAAATTTTTGCCACTCATTTTGCAAATGGGAAAATTGAGGCTTCTAGTGGTTTTCCTAAATTTTTTATCTCAAGTACTTTAAGGTCTCATGAGGAAATAAAATTTATGTACAAATAATTTTAATTAAAAGTATAAAAAGTTGTTTCCCTGAAAAATAAAACTTAAAACAGATAACAAAAGGTTGATTCTGTAAGGAGGATTTCTATTGGGAAAAGGACAGTTAGATTTGACAGCCCAGATGCTTACTCTCTAACATTTCCCTACCCCTTGGCAGAATCCTTCAATAATTAACACCAGGACAACCACATAGACTTCAGCCATGGGTGTGTCAGGGGCATTTGAACCAGAGCAACTCCATCTTGAATAGGGTCTGGGCAAAGTGAGGCTGAGACCCACTGGGCTGCATTCCCAGGAGGTTAGGCATTCTTAGTTACAGGATGAGATAGGAGGTTGGCACAAGATACAGGTCACAAAGACCTTACTGATAAAATAATATGGTACAGAAGCTGGCCAAAACCCACCAAAACCAAGATGGTGACGAAAGTAACCTCTGGTAGTCTTCACTGCTCATTATGTGCTAATTATAATGCATTAGCATGCTAAAAGACACTCCTACCAGTGCCATGACAGTTTACAAATGCCATAGCAATGTCAGGAAGTTATACTATATGGTCTAAAAAGAGGAGGAACTCTCAGTTCTGGGAATTGCCCACCTCTTTCCTGGAAAACTCAGGAATAATACACCCCTTGTTTAGCATATAATCAAATAACTATAAGTATAATCAGTCAAGCAGCCTATGCCACTGCTCTGTCTATGGAGTAGCCATTCTTCTATTCCTTTACTTTCCTAATAAACTTGCTTTCACTTTACTCTGTGGACTCACCCCAAATTCTTTCTTGCATGAGGTCCAAGAACCCTCACTTAAAGTCTTGATCAGGACCCTTTTCTGGTAACATCTTCCTGGTGACCACAATGAGATTAAACTAAGGAGACTCCCTACCCAAAAGAAATAGATTAGATCACCAATTGTATGACTTTGGGTAAGTGATAGGAACCATTTTACCTGGTTAAAGGATGGAATTGGGTTAGAGGCCCAACTTAGGAGAGTTAGAGCCTCTCCTAAGACAGAGAGCTTAAAGGCCCCTCTTAATAAAAGGCAAGGACGCTTGATGGAACTTAGGTTCAAGGCCCAAACTAGGAAGGTTAGAGTCCTTCCTAAGATTAAGGGGGTTAGAAGCTCCTCTCAGTAAAGTCCTTCTTGGTTAAAAATGGATTTCACATTATGGGATATTAACCATTATTCTCTTTGTATTAATCTGCCTTGCACTGTTTGCTGATGTCTGTGGGTGACAGGATTAGGTGTATATAGGATCACTGGATATGGGGAGCATTTTCTCCCTAAAGGGGAAATTTGAGAGCTGATGAGACAATTGGCCACCTGAACTTTAGATTCAGTGTTGCTGCAATGGATCGGTCTTGTCTGGCCTCCCTGAGCTCCTCATTTTCCTCACCCTGCTGCAGGCAATGCTTTTCTCCCTTTCTTTCTTTCCTTTCTCTTTTCTATCTTTTCTGTTACTCAGGGCAACTGTCTACGGTTTCAGTTTGCCCAGAAACCACATGTGGAAACTCCTGGTCAGAAGATCATTCCACACCAATTTGAGTGGATCAAAGATGAAAAGGCCCAACTAGAATCATGTTTGAGCCTTCCCAGTTTGATACTGGGTGCTAAGCAGAGTGGCTAATGTCTATGTTTTGTCACATTTATTTTGCTCTGGCTGGTTTGGAAGATGTTAATTGGGTTACCCCATGCAATCTCTTGGGTGACATCTTGCAAAATTGAGAGGCTTTTGCCTATGGTTTCATGAAATGGAAAAAGGTGATTTTCCTTTGTGTTGTGGTTTGGCCCCTAGGGCTATGGTGCCACAAGACAGGTCACTAGGGCTGCTCAGGGAAAGGGAACCCAGAAGCCTGGCATGCCAGCAAAAGGGTAAGAATTTCTTACCATTCAGACTTCTGGCCTCTCTGTGCAAACGAGTTATAGGAATGGTAAACATCCCTCTTTATTCCTGTGTAAAGTTTTAATTAATAGGAAAAAGAATTTTCCCATTAAGTTAGTCTTAAGCTGTAGTGAATTTGCTGTACTTTGTGCTATAAATTTGTCTTTCCAGATTGTTCTGTCAGAAGGAGGGTTACCTTAGGATAGAATACAGGCTTAAGCCCCCATTTGGTGGTTAATACTGAGTATCAAATTGATTGGATTGAAGGATGCAAAGTATTGTTCCTGGGTGTGTCTGTGAGGGTGCTGCCAAAGGAGATTAACATTTGAGTTGGTGGACTGGGAGAGGCTGACCCACCCTCAATCTGGATGGGTACCATCTATTCAGCTGCCAGCTTGGCTAGGATAAAAGCAGGCAGAGAAATGTGGAAAGACTAAACTGGCTGAGTCTTCTGGCCTCCATGTTTCTCCCATGCTGGATGCTTCCTGGCCTTGAACATCAGACTCCAAGTTCTTTAGTTTAGGATTCTTGGACTTAAACCAATGATTTGCCAGTGGCTCTTGGGTCTTCAGCTACAGACTGAAGGCTGCACTATTAGCTTCCCTACTTTTCAGGTTTTAGGACTGGGACTGGCTTCCTGGCCTCTCAGCTTGCAGATGGCCTATTGTGGGACTTCACCTTGTAATCATGTGAGACAATTCTCCTAATAAATTTCCCATTCATTTATTCATCTATCTGCTAGTTCTGTCCCTTCAGAGAACCCTGACTAATACACCCTATAAGACTGCTGTTCAAGACAGCCCATCAAACTGGTCACTTACAAACTTTGCTTCAGATCCCTGAAACAAAACAAAACAAAACAAAAACAAAACTGAAGTTCCCCTCTTGTCTTGTTTTATGTTCTTGGGAGCTTGACCTTATAACCATGTGGCAGTACTTCCTCTTTGTCTCTGCCATTCAGAGAACAGGAACTTTGGGGTTCATATCATAGTTAGCCCTAAAAATTATATTGAGCAGTTAAAAGGCTTTGCAAGCTCAAAATTGGCTGCTCTAGACTCCTTCTGGGAAGGGCAATGGAGACTGCCCAGTGCCGTAGAACAACTTCTGACTTCCTTTCTTGAATTTTCCTTTTTCTGAGTACCTGGGAGGTTACCTTTGGTAAAGTTCAAAAGCTACAAGTATTTGCTGTTTTGCCTGGCTAGAGTCTGATAATGAGATTTTTTTTTTTTAAAAGAATGCTATGGTTAAAAGTCAGCTTAATTAAAAGTGGATATTCAAGCTCTAACAGCCTGGGACTCCTTGGGAAAAACAGGAGGCACTACAGACCCTGTTTGAGGAAAAACCTCTGCTTTCTTCATGAAAACCCAGAAATTGAAATCAGATAGATCCCTCTCAAAATCTAAGGCTCTCCTCTGTTTTGCACTGTGATGTCTGACAGTATTGACTTTTAGGGGTATCAGAAATTACTTTGCATTATGAGAGAGCTTTGGTGTGTAATAACTAGGTAGGAAATATACTTTTGGGGATGGCTAATGGCAGTTATAGGGAGATACTTGGCATTTTGCATGTTTGGATTAGAGAATCATGTTCTTGGCCACCTAGAAAGTATGAAAATGTCCCCATTCCCCACTGAGAGATGAGACTCCTATGGGAGATGGGTTGATTCCCTCTTTTTTAAAATTTAACTTTAAGTTCTGGGATACATGTGCAGGATGTGCAGGTTTGTTACATAGGTAAGCATATGCCATGGAGGTTTGCTGCACCTATCAACCTATCATCTAGGTATTAAACCCCACATGCATTAGCTATTTATCCTGATGCCCTCCCCGACAGGCCCCAGTGTGTGTTGTTCCCCTCCCTGTATTCATGTGTTCTCATTGTTCAGCTCCCACTTATAAGTGAGAACATGTGGTGGTTGGTTTTCTGTTCCTGTGTTAGTTTGCTGAGGATAATGGCTTCCAGCTTCAGCCATGTCCCTGCAAAGGACATTATCTCATTCCTGATTCCCTCTTTTCTTTGGGGATCCAGGATCTAATATAAAAATGAGACCCTTAATTTTGGGGCTCTGCTTTGCCTTCCAGCTGTGCCTGCTTATTAGGCCCTGGAAACTGCATGCTTTCCCAGTCCTGTTCCTCCAAGGGCTCCACCCTAAAGCCAGCAATCCAATTAAGAAACTTAATGGATTGTAAGCAAATGGAAAATCTTCCAAGTACTGGATTTTCTGTCTGTCTGCATATTTACATGTGTTGTGTGTGTGGTGTTTATATATAAAAGAGCTCTGATTAATTGGTTTAAAGATAATAGGCAATTAAATCAAATATTATCAGAAAAATAAAAACAAATGCCTTTTACTTCACGTGACTTTAATAATCTTTAGGAATTAGAGACAGTTTTAAAGATTATTGGTAAAATAAAGACATTTGGTCTAAATTGCGCCAGTCAGATTTAGGTTTGCCAAATGCTTTAATATCATAAAGTGCTTTTTTAACTTGATAATTGTTCAACTTACCTGCTTTGGAGCCATTAGATTCCAGGTAAGGCATGGGAACATGTGGAGTTAGCCATGCCCCCGGCTATGCTGAAAAAGGACCTTATCTGGACTTATGTCTAGTGTCTTAGGCTCCACACCTGATAGATAATTAAAATCCTTACTTACCAGATTTTTCACCAAAAATAAAAGTTGCTCAGTTAGCATTGTAACGTTTAATTGAGTCTACTGAATAAGCAGTTTTACATACAAGGTGTGTAAGGACAGTGACGTGTTTTTGGTAAAAAATTATAAGAAGGCATGGGAATACGGATTTTTTTGGCCTAGTTTAGAGGCTTAAAAACTTTTTTCAAGCTAGATAGAAAAAAGCTGAAGGTTTAAACAAGTTGTGGAAGGTTTGTGAACAATTAATCTTATAAAAGAAATTCTGTGTGTGAACATATTAGCTAAAATTAAAGGAGGTATTATTCAGTTTTTTTCATAAATTGAACATTGGAATAAAAGCACAACAGGGTTTTCTTAGAGCAGTGATCTACTCTTTAAGAAAAAATTGTAAAGGGTTATAAAAGGTTTATGAGAATCTTACCTTATGATCTAACTGATTAAGATTGGATAGATTAGTCTATAAGGTTTTTTTTTTAAGAATTAGGTTTGGCATCAATACTGCATTAATGCAAAGGTGAAATTTGGCTTTCTCTGTTGAACAAGGTTTTCATGTTATATTAAAAAATACGAAAATGTTTTTGTTTGCCTTTTAAATAAACTATAAGAAAAAGAAGGGAAAGGAAAGAGTCAGATTGTTTGGAAAGCTAAGTCTTCCCTCTATTAAGAAGTAAAAGATGTATTTGTGTAAATATGTTTTAGGTATGTGTTCCAAAATTATGGGAAACTCCTATAATTCTGATATGATTTAGTGGATGTTATTAATAGTCATAATTATTATGTAAAATTGTTGTATGCCACAGAAGTAACCAAAATTTTCTTGTCAATTGTGGCTTTAATAGTGGCTGTTCTAAGACTTTTTGTCAACCATGGACAATTGCTGTCTTATTTTGATCCCCTTCAAAAGGTGGTTTATAATCAGCTATAAGACTTTGACAGGTGCTCTTGAATGCAGGTTTCTGATAACTTTGGAGACTGTGACATTATAATAGAGGAAAAACTTTCAGAACTCTCATGGAGGGCTGAACTGTTCATGAATATCAAGCAGAACAGGCGTTAATTGCATGGACTGAACTAATAGAAGCCTAAAGTAATCTTTTTTGGCTTTTGGCTTAAAACATTGCTGATCCTTTGTTTTGTTTCTCAGAGCCAAGAAACTTTTCTTTTGAGCTATTTACAACTTTTAAGAATTGAGTAAAGTATTGATATGGTTTGGCTGTGTCCCCACCCAAATCTCATCTTGAATTGTAGCTCCCATAATCCCCATGTGTCATGGGAGGGACCCATTGGGAGGCAATTGAATCACGGGGATGGGTTTTTCCCGTGCTGTTCTCATGATAGTAAGTCTCATGAGACCTGATGGTTTTATAAAGGGCAGTTCCCCTGCACATGCTCTCTTGCCTGGCACCATGTAAGACATGCCTTTGCTCCTCCTTCACCTTCTGCCATGATTGTGAGGCCTCCCCAGCCATGTGGGAAGGGGACTGTAAGTCCATTAAACCTCTTTTTCTTTATAAATTACTCAGTCTCAGGTATTTCTTCATAGCAGTATGAAAACGGACTAATACAATTATACTTCTGTGAACAAAATTTGGAGCATATTTGTTTCTTGCTACCTGATTTTTCCAGAATTTGGAAACCATTTGTGAGTATTCTTAACTTATGATAACATAGTTATTTGCATAAGTGCAATAAGAATCTGTTTTCTTTTGTAACAGGACACAATTGGAGAAAGTGATTATTTTACTAAGGCTTTGACTGGAATGGCATGCTTAACCTTTAGAACCAGTAAAGGCCCCTTGGGAAAACTGGCCTCATAGCTTGTCTATGAAGTCCCTGTACAGAGTTCTTGACCTGTGGTATGTAAAGAATGTAATTTTCTGACAGACCCAGGAGCCCCAGGTTATCTTGAGACCTCAAGAGGAGCCAACTCACATAGGTATTTGACAGTAAAAACCCATGTCTGGGCTTGGCTTTAAAAAAGGTCTTATTTGATATTCCTTCTATGGAACAAAGTTGTGTTAAAACTAATGTAAAAAGCCTATGTGAAAAATAATCATTCTTGCTGCACTTCATATAAATAATCAGGCCAAGGATAATAAAGCAAGTCGGTCTTACTATCATTTGTCTTTAGTAAAAATGGGAGACTGGAAAGAGAAAAATTACGTTTCTAAAACTATTGTGCACCCTATCAGATTCTAGTCTCATCAGTTATTTTTGAGGGTTTTTTGTTGTTGTTGTTGCAATTTGGACTTACCCTGCTTATTCCTGTAAACCAACTAGTGATCTCCAGCTGCAGCTCAGAATAAACGTGAGGGATGGGTAATGTAAAAATCCAGATCAGTATTCTACATCTGGGTACATATTGGGATCAGTTAGCAATCCCGTATCAGCTTGCTTCCAACAGTGGTGTAGTTCATGGAAAGCCTTCTTATTTAGTTTACTGGGGATAATTTTCCTTATTTTGCTTTACTGTTGTGGAATTTATTACTATTGCACTCTTCGTATAGGAATTCAGGATAAGCTTACTGAATGTTTTATTGAATTAAATACTTATTCATCTTTCAGATGCCACATTTTGTTGGAACTCAGAGTTATGAGTGGCCCTCGCCATACCTACACTTTCTGACTGAGCTCCTCTCTACCCTGAATACAAGAGACCCTAATAGGCAGGAATATCATCACCCCTCTTCAGCCTGAAGATGTTACAGAAGATGGATATTTGTCCGTTTACAACCCTTAAGATTAAGGGTTCCCCTGTAAAAGGGAGGGGGAAAATATGTCAGAGATGTTTGAACCAGAGCAACTTCGTCCTGAATAGTGGCTCGGTAAAGTGAGGCTGACACCTATGGACTGCATTCCCAGGAGGTTAGGCATTCTTAGTTACGGGATGAAATAGGAGTTTGGCACAAGATGGGTCATAAAGACCTTGCTGATAAAAGGATGTGGTACAGAAGCTGGCCAAAACTCACCAAAATCAAGATGTGATGAAAGTGACTTCTGGTAGTCCTCACTCCTCATTACACTAATTATAATGCATTAGCATGCTAAAAGACACGTTCACCAGCACCATTATGGTTTACAAATGCCATGGCAATATCAGCAAGTTACCCTATATGGTCTTAAAAGGGGAGGAACCCTCAGTTCTGGGAATTGCCCACCACTTTCCCAGGAAACTCATGAATAATCCACCCTTTATTTAGCAAATAATCAAGAAATAACTATAAGTATAATCAGTTGAGCAGCCCATGCCACTGCTCTGCCTGTGGAATAGCCACTCTTTTATTCCTTTACTTTTTTAATAAACTTGTTTTCACTTTACTCTATGGACTCGCCCTGAATTCTGTCTTGTGCAAGGTCCAAGAACCTTCTCTTGGGGTCTGGATCAGGACCCCTTTCTGGTAACAGATGGGGATGGAGTCGTGGGTGGGGAAGGGGCACAAAAGCCCTAAGAAGGAATTGAAATGATCTCTCCTTTTAAGGTTCTGAAGCAAGGGCAAGTCAAGAAAGGAACTTTAGAAAAATCCTTTACTAAAGCTTTGGGAATATTAATGAGGAAGCAATTCATAGATTATGGTGAAAAGAGAAGAATCTGGCTTACAAAACATAGCCCTGGACTACAGGACACTTTGGGACTCAGCCCTAGTGTTATCTGTGTGGACCCTAGAGGAACAAATGAGTCCTAAAGAATCTCCTACTGAATTTGTCAAGTTATTTCTCCCACCTCTATTAACCTCCATCTTGGTTTCTTTATACCTCAGGTTTGAGCATCAGCTCCATAGTCATCCACTTAGAGGGCTTTTTTCTTACACAAAGCAAACTTATGAAACAGTTTTGGTGTAGGATGCCAAGAAAGTCCATGAGAAGAAAAAAAAAAAATCATGGTTGGTAACATCATCAGGAGAGATTTTTTTGGAGGATTTTACTAGATGATGTTTAAGCTGAATTCTTCAGGTCAAATATGTATTTGATGGTTGGAGACAGGGAAACAGCAATCCAAGTGGACAGATCATGGTGGACAGAAACTGTAGTAATGGTTTCAACAGGAGATAACTTGGTGGCAGGTTGCCAAAGATTTCATTAGAAACTTATATTGCTTTTACAGTGGTTGCTGTGTTGCATCATACAGAATCCCCCTTCAGGACAGAGGCATAAATTCCTTCATTTGGCAAGAGTCTTGGCTGGTGACAGCTCATCATTGAGTTCCTTCCTAGGCTTTGCCTAGCTGAAAGTTTCATCTCCTCCCCTGTGGTCACCTATATCCAATGACTGGTTGATGCAGAGACACAGGAGTCCATACCTTTTGTTTCAACCAGGACAGCTATAAAGGGCCATCTAAACAGCTCCCCATGCCATCAGCTGAGGTTTTTATTCTGATGGCATGGCAGTTCAGCATCTCCCCTGGACAAGTACGTTTTCTTCACTCGGTCATGTGTGTTCTGGACAGCACTCCCAGATAAACTTTCTGAATACAAATCTTTGTCTCAGAATCTTTTCTGGGGAACTCACCTAAGACAACTCCAGACATAATTTGAGATACAATAGGCTATTCTAACAGAAATAACATAGAGTTTGGAAAGCATAAAAGTACATATGACTCAGTCATTAGAAGTACTGACTTGTGGTCTCTATGGTAACAAAGTGGAATTTCAAGATTAGTACTGATTTACTAAACCAATTTAGATTCCACTGACAAATAACTGGAAAGGAGAGAAATTGTACCAGGGCTGTGACTCTTCTGCTCTCAGGCTTTGCCAAACCCATCAATCAGTTTTGGTCACTAAGTGTATAGTCTATCTATACTTAAGACTATATCAGGGAATTATGCTGTGGAAAAAAAACAGAAAACAAACAAACAACAACAACAGAAAAAAAACCTCAAGGGCTTGAAAAGTAACAATGGCTTATTTTTTTGTTGATGCTTCATGTTCATTTCAGGTCAGAAGAGAGAGAAGGTGTTTCTGCTCATAGTCACTATGGGAGCTAGTCAATGGAGCAGCTACTACCTAGAATCTTGCAAATCATTGCCAGAGGGAACAAAAAATTTGAGAGGATTTATATCTGTGACTTCAATGTTACACCCAAAGAGATACACATCATTTATAATCAGAATTTGCTACAACTGTTCATCACAAGGGGCTGAGAAAATGCAATTTCAAAATGTGCCTGGTGGAGCAGGAGTTAGGAGAATTGGAATATTTGGCAGCTTACACTAGTAAAGACTTGGGGAAAATCTTGGAACCTCTAAAATAAAATTAAAAAAGAAAAATCCATTTAAACTGATCATTGAATTCCTAATTTTCAATTAAGTAAAAAGTAGATTAGTAATAAGTAATCATTGATCCTTTAGTATCTTTAAAATTGTATTTGCAATCTTTGGAGTTTATTTTGTAAACACGTGTTAGGTGCCTTCTGTTTACAAAGTACTCTGACAGTTATTCTTAAGGCACAAGTATGAAGAATCCCTGGACTATTTCTTTAATGGTGTTTATATCTACTTAGAGATAAAGGCATTCAAAATATGTAGGGCAGAGAACAAGCAGAGGAGGGTAGTATGAGCAACATTTAGGGAATGTAAAAGAGAGAGTTGTTAAGTGCCAAGTTTCCATGCTTGAAGCTTGCAGAGGACGAAGTTTTGTCTTCTGCAAATATACCTGAAAATACTCTTTTGATCTGAGCTGTACAGAAGGGGCAGATAAGGAAAAACAAATATTACATTATTGCTTTTAAATCCATTTTTGATTTCCATTTTCCCTTTCCCATTCCAGACCCTTCTGTTTACTTTTTTGTGGTTAGAATAAATGATTATAAACTGAGAGCCAATATTGTTACTCCTTGAGATAAGGAACCGTTATTTTTTGGTATTCTGTACACTCCATTCCATGTTAATGAGGATTTATCATGATAATTATAATAAATTGTACCTCTAGTTAATGCATCTTACAGCTTATAAAGCGAGTTTCCATATGCTGTTACTGTTATTTCCAAAACATGCTAGTGCAATAGGTTCAGAAGGTTTTAATAAAATTATTCCCATATCATAGAGAAATTGAGGCTGAGAAAATTAAAATAATTTAATTATTGTTACAACTATTTATAGCTGTGAACAAACCATCCTAAAACAATGACTTAAAACAATAACTAATTTTTTTCTCACCTGAGAGTTGCCTGGGCTTAGCTAGTCAATCCTTGTTTGGAGTCTCTCATGCAGTTTTCGTCATTGATGGCTGGGGCTGAGGGCATCTCAAAGGCTTTATTCACATGTTTGGTGCCTGGTCTGAAACAACTCAAACATCTGGGATCTAGAATAGTTGGGGATCCTCAGACGTAACACTCTCTGTTTTCTATCCATTGTCTCTCTGCAGAGCAACCTCAGGGTAGCTGGGCTTTGTGCATGGGAACAAAAGGCTCCCAGAATGAATGTCCAAGAGGGACCAGCAGAAATCTCATGTCCTTTGCTCTCTAGCTTCATAAGTTACACATCACACAGCCCCCTTTCCCACCATATTCCTCTGTTTGTTGAAACAGTAGCAAAGATCCATCTAGTTTCACAAGTAGGGAATGGAGATTTCAACTTTTCCGGGAATAGTGTCAAAAATTTTGCCAAGCTGTCAAACAACCACAAGTATATTTACATGGTAAATAATAAAATAGAAATAGTCTCTGTGCTGCAAGTTGGGTTCCCCAGAGAGCAGGTGCCAGGATAGTGTGTAGTGAGCGGGAATTTATAAAAGAGTGCCCTTGGCACCAACACTTGTGAATGGGAGGCTAGCAACAGGACTGAGCAGAAGCTGAGTTGCGACACAGGCCTAATGACTACCAGCCCCACTAGGCTAGATTCTGCAGTTTCCTGCAGAGTGGTCCCAAGCTGGGCTTAGATGCCCCAGCATAAATATTCCCACTTAGACCAATAGATCAGTAATTGAATGTGGGCCACTCTGGAAAGGAGCATGACCTTGAGAAAAGTGGCTCTCTGTGGCAGAATCAATCTCTGAAGGTGCTGACAGCTGAAGATTGTCTGCCAATAGGACTCCCAGCAGTTGAAGCAACAAGTTCTTCGTTGAAGGAGAATTATCACACTTTGGCTCCACACCCAGTAACCTCTCATTATACCACACTGTCTCCCCTAAGAAAGCATCACTTATCTGTACACATTGACTAAATATTAATTGTGAAATACATTGTACAGTGAAAATAACATGGGGACACGTTATTTGGATGCATTTCTTATATCCCAATATTGGGCACATTTGTGTGTACACAAGAGATGGGTTACATAACCTATGAATCAGTCCAGGCAGCCAATGGATGCCAGCCTTTATTTTTACCCCAGGCTGCACTACCAACGCTCCCACCTCTAAATCAGTGCTTGTTGCAGTGCAGACACATGATTATCCATCAAGCTCCTGAATGCCACTGCCCAGTCAACATTTCCACTAATATCTTGTCAGCATCTCAAAATTTACTTGTCCCAAACTGAACACTTGATTTTGGAACTCTTATGAAACTCTTATTCTTCTACATTATACATTAAATGGTATAACTATTCACCAAACCCTAGAAGTCATCCTTGATTCCTTTCTTTCACATCCTGGGGGTGAATATCTAAAATTACTTTATTTCCTCATATACTTATATTTTCTGTCCTCCTCCTAAATTTTAGCTCCGTGAGAGTAGAAAATTTATTTACTTACCTAGTGTTGTCCAACACCTAGAAAAATTTAGGACCATGATTTGCAAAGAATAGGTACTTAGTAGATATATAATGAATGAATCTTTGTGGAAATCAACTAATCGTTATTAACCAATTCAGGATTCCACAGGCACTAACCTCAACTGTTCTATAGAGATTCTGCGTGAAGAAACTACATCTCTCTGTCTTTGGCATTGGTTCGATTTCTACCAGCAATATTTACTGAATATGAGCTCTTTGAGATGTTCTTTTGTCATGACCATTTTTGCTAGTCTGATGAGGCTTTCCTAGCTGCTGGACTCCAAACCTACTTAAAGGTTTTGGCTTTACAATGGCACCATTTCCAGTGGCCTAAGATGTCATGAACCAGCAATACTGCTGCCAAGATGCAAGCACCCCTGCACTTGTAAAGGATATGTTCAATTGTAAAAATAATTATTCTACAGTAGACTTATTTGGGTCTCGAAACATGACTTATCTAGTGAAACAGACCTTGGAATTGACACAAAGCCCCTTTATCCTCCCTGGTCTTATACACAATCATAGCTGGGGGCTAGGATGGATACACATAAAACCTCAATGTTGAAAGAGGCCAGTTTCTGTTCATACCAATTCCTTCATCCCTAAATAAAATCCTCTTGAAGAAGCCCTATTTTCCCTTTCTATAATCTGACTCTAGTTTATCAGATTATGTTTATATGTCTTAACTCTAAATATAAATATAAATGGAATTGGACTAAACAGGTACAGACTGAACTAAACTGCATGCAGTTATCTGGTTCAGAATAGACTGCTTCAGGACCAACTTATTTCTGAATAAGAAATTATTCAATTATAAAAATAATTTTATTTTGATGTACATGAGTTTTAAGAAATCTAAAATTTTAAGAGCAGGTTATTTCTATTTGTGTACCAAAAAAGTACTTGAATTCTCACTCAGGAGTATTAGATACTAGGTAAAAATATTGCCATATAGTTTTCAGTTCTCTTCACTTCCAGTCACATGCTAACATTGTATTTCTTTGCCCTACTGTGGTTGGGTCAGTCCATGTGACCAATAAGTTTGTTAGTAAAAGTGGCATGTGTCACTTCGAAGTGGAACATTTAATTGCTGATGTGAAATGGTGAGTTCTCCATCCTTCTGATGCAATAACTAGTAATGTTTGAGATGGTGCCTTCTGCATCAGCCTGGGTTGCTGAGAGTCTACAATATGTGGTTTCTCCCTGCTGATACATGGTGGAAAAACACAAATGAGAAATAAACCTTGTTTGTGTTAAGCCCCCTAAGACTTTGGATAAGTGTTACTAAAATATAAACTGCCATTTTTTAGTTGTGTAAACTGGAACAGGTCATTTTACCTTTTTGAACCTCAGTTTCCTAATTTTAAACTGGCAATAAATATTTAGGTCATTGGGTTTCTCTGAGATTTTAAGAAGACTATATGTGAAAGGTGTTATAAAAATTCTAAAATTCTTTGCAAAGGCTAGCATGTATATCAATATGCACAATTCATTTTTTAATTTTTAGATTCACCTAGTTGTCTCTCATGACATTAATTTCAATTTTTTTTCAGCCTTTTGGACAAGTATGTCTATGCATGGAAAAATATGAATAGTAGACTCACCTCAAATAAATTCCCAGGGATGCTTCAAATCTCTATGAGAGGTATCTATTCTTTGCACATCACTAAATATTTATTTCATTGTTTCCTACCTCCCTCTTTTTGTCATTTCCTCTCTCCCTTCTTTCTTTTATTCCTTCCATCCTCCTCTCTCCCTCCAACCCCATCTTCAACAAATATTCACCTAGTCTGCCAATAACTGGGAAAACAAAGATAATTGGACAGAGCCTCTGATCTCAGGGTACAGACACATACTTGGAAAAGTACAAAATAATTGCTTCAGGTTTCAGGTTTATGAAAAATATATGTTCAAACTACAGTCGGTCAAAAAGATAGAAGTGCTCAATTTTTAGTAGATAATTTTAAAAGTCTTAGTTCAGAAAGAGAAACTAATTGTGTCTGTAGAGATGGTTAAGTTTTTTTCTTAGGGTGATAACAGAGTAGTGGAGATAAAAAGAGAAAACTGGATACCAGGCCGTTGGAGCAGTATAGGCAAAAACATAGATTTGTGGCCTAATTCACGGCACAGTGTAATTTGTGAAATCAGTCTAAGTTGGACAACCAAAGATTCATCTTTGTATTCAAATATAAAGGGTATTTAGTTTCAGATATACTCAATAATTCATAAAGGGGAGAACACATCCCTTGATTGACTTCTCTTTTAGCAACTTTCTAATTATAAGAGTTTTACAATTCACAGTGGGAATTAATAAAATATAGAAAAGTACATTTAGAAAAAACTTCTAGAGAAAGGCAGTGATAACAACCTAGAGTATTTACTCCTAATTCAAATATATGCTTGTGTATAATATATATTCCTAATAGTTACACACAATTTAAAATAGTTAATGTTATATTTCTATACTTTGTCATTTTTTCTAATTTGTAATGCATATGTGAATCTAATTGCTGAACACCAAGGTGTGGTTGAGTTTGTGATATAAGTGCTTCCACTGAGCTGATTCTCTGTTCCAGAACATGACAATTTTTGCGTGTTTATGCCCAGTACGATGCCAATTCCTGGCATAGAATTATGGTCAACATAACTTAAGTTTCTGATTGACCTGATAGATTCCCTTTCTTTAAAATGGGAGAGAAACACAAAATTATTCCTACACAATTCACATTTTAAAATATAAATTAGAGTGTATATATGTGTGTGCATATATGTATGTATATGGTACTATAGAATGCCCAGAAAATATAAAAATACATATTTCCTGTTATAATGAAGCACAAACTATGTTTTCACTTATTTGGACAGAATGATTTAGCTATGCTTCACTAAACATTGATTACTGGAAGACAATGTTATCATGTATTATGACATCTAATCTTAAAAACAGCTCTACTATTTTCTCCTATTTATGGGGAAACTTATGCCCAGATAAATTAATTAACCTGCCCAAGGACACACATCTAATAAAAACTCAAATTGAATTTAAACCCGAAAGAACTGTAGTAATTATTATGGTATCAAATAAATACTGCAATTAATTTATTTATTGATTCTCCTCTTAATGGACACAATTGGAAAAATACACAATTATATTTTAATAGTAGGTATCTCTGTGTGGTAGGAATTTATGGTGGATTTTTATTTTATTCTTTAATGTTATAACCAGAAAAAAATATGATAGTGGTTCTGCCACTTATTAGAAGCATGGCCCTGGGCAAGTAACTTAACCTCTTTATATTTTATTTTTCACTTTTGTTTCATTTGGGAATTGAGAGTATTGAGTAACTTTTTGAGAGTCCATTCCTACTTTGAACTTCTGAGGCTGTAAGTCTCAACAGGCAAAACATAGTATTTCCCTGGAGAGAATATTGCATGCAGAAGACCTACATAATGTTGAGACTAAAGTTCATGTTTATATAACATTATTTCTAGGAATACATTACAAAATCCAATTTTGTCTAGCAAATACTGACAAAGTCTCAGAGGAAAAACTAGAGAAACTAAAGGGAATCATTTTGGATAAATTGTATAGTACAAAGAACATTTTGCTAAGAAGCAAGCGTAGGTTGCATTCTCTTTTGCCGCTTTCTGGCTGTGTTGAGAAAATACACTTCCTCCCCGATTCCTAGTTACCTCCCTTGTAAATAAATGAAGCATCTGGGAATTGGAGAGATTATTGTCTTGCTAACATATCGTGAGAACTTGAGGCTATATGGAAGATCGGAATCAGGGCAGTAGGCCCCAATAGGCTTATCACTTTTGGTAGGATTGGGAAAGGAGGACAAAAATTGCTAGATCCTGAGCTGTAACACATCAAAAACCAAAGATGTCTTGTTCCAAAGACAAGATGAGCTTCTTGATGTATAGGCTTTCCAGGAGAATTCAGGGGTGGAGGGGTAAAAATATTTAACTCTTGATTCCCAGGCTGCAAAATATCGAGAGCCTTGCCCTGTGAGATCTGTATGCCTATTTACAGAGGACTTACTAGGATACAGTCAGTCTTTACCTAATCAAACATTCCCCTGATAGGGCAACAGAGAGAGGTGCCCAGTCTAACATTCCTGATTTCTACTTTCCACAAAACAAATGCCTTCTTTGCTGCAAACCATGCAGAAAGAAATGATATGATTTCTTCACTATTGTTTAATCATGACTCATAATGTTGATGAGGAGAGTCTAGCAGTTACCATGGTTGAGTACTATACTGAGATCTGAATCCAGAGGAAAAAAGAATCACAGTAGGTTATAGGTGTCACTATATTATCACAAGAAAGAACATAATCTCTTTTAGAAAGAAAAATATGTAAGCTTCATACATAGTGAACTGTATACTGGTAATATCTATTAAACTTGAAGATGAATATTCCCTACAACTCAGCAGCTCCTTTTCTAGCAAAGAAACTCTTCTATGTACACAAAAGGATACAATGTTCAAGGCTGTTTATGGCAGCATTATTTGAAAAAGAGAATAATTGAAAATATTTGAAGTGCCCATCAATAGAATAAATTGTGTTGATATAGTCATAAAATAGAATGCTGTAAAAATCGTGCAGTAAAAATAAACTAGAGCAACACATATATTAGTAGGAATGAAGCATATATTTATAACGTTGAATAAAACAAAACAATTTGAAAATAATACCTGTATTAAGATAGCATTTAATAGTTAAAAATTCTGCAAAATCATACTATATATTATTTACACATGAATAAAAACATAGAAATATTAGAAAACTTAACTGTAAATGATACATTTGGAATTAGTGAGAACAGATTACCACTGAGTGGGAGCAAAGATAATGGAAATAAAGGATTTTATAGAGAACTGTAACTATAACTACAGGAAGTGTGGAATAATATGACAATATGATAAACATAGGGGCTAAGTGCATAATTTTCCTTATAGTACTCTATATTGTGATCTGAGTTTTTTGAACTACTTTATAATTTTAAAACATTGATTTAAAAAACTTTAATGTTGTATATAGCATATTCAAGCTTGAGTGTTTTTTTTAAATATATATAAAAATTGCCATGAGTAAAAGATAAAATACCAATCAAATGTTGGAAACACTAAAGCACAACCTCAGGGTTCTATAGAAACATATGAATCTGTAGTAGGTTAGTTAGAGAAGTTATGTGTTACATTATTATAGGGGATTATATTCCCTCATTGAATGAATTGAATGAAAATTGTATCCATTTTTATGTGACTCAAATCCAAATTCCGAGTTTTACTGCATGTACAACACAGGTATATTCAATTTGCTCTAATTTACCCATTTCTAAAGTGGACATTTGGTTTAGGCAGATTATTATTTAAAGGCTCTTTGAAAAGAAAAGGTAGGTTCTAAAACTGTAAATAAAATCAGCACATTTGTTTGGCTGCTAAACACTACACGAGTTTTACTTCAGCAAGTAAAACTCATGGGAATGCATTCTCATCATGTCTGTCTAAGATACATTGAGGCTGTGAAGTTCAAAGGTGTTATGTTCCTATAGATTTCTACTATGTTCCTATAGATTTCTACTAAAAATCCTTGAAGCATGAGAAATGTGTAGCTATACTGATTTTTTCCCAGCATGTGATGCAGAATTTATATACTTGATTTTACTCCCACAAAATAAAATCTATTGCCAAAAATAATGGCCCTGCACAAATTATATATTGAGTATGATCAGATACCTCCTTTTAAAATTCCCACTTTTCATATGACACAAAAATATTAATTGAGAAACTGAGGACTTTGAAGAAAAATGGTTAAATTTGTCTTGGCTTTTAGCATCAGTATTTATTTTCTATATATTTTCTAGAACTTGAATTAATTATAATTTTCAGGAAGTAATGTACCTATTTGATTGCATATTTGTATTAAAATGTTTTTCAAAATCTGTTTTCCAAGAGTATTCCAAAATATATATTGCTACAATCTATTATTTTGGTAATGCTAATAGACCTACTATACATGTAAGATATGAGGGGCAAAGATACATAAGGGATATATAATTTAGCATATATTGAGTATAGATTATATTAAAAACACTTGCTAAGGACTTTGTAATAAAATTTCCTATTGATTTTATAACTCTGAAATGTAGATACTCCATTATGCTGATTTTGAAAGCTTCTCCCATAAAGAGGTGGAGTCTATTCTCCTACCACTTGAATTTGAGCTGCACTCGTGATTAGAGAATGTGAAGGAAGAAGTGAGTCAGTCTCTGTCTCTCTCTCTGTCTCTCAGTCTCTTTGCTTAGGCCCTAAGAGGTCTTCTACTTGTTTCCTCTTGAAACTCTGTCACTTCCATGTGGAAAAAACTAAGGCCATCTTGTTGGAAATGGATAAGTTACGTGGAAATGAGCCCAGCTGTCCTAGCTGAGACCATCCTAGGTTAGATCATCTTATTGCCAGCCAACCACTTAGCTTGTTCATAGATTTAAGAGCAATAAGAAATGCTTATTGTTTTAAGCCACTAAATTTTGGGGTGATTTGTTACACAGAAATAGCTGACACATTGATCTTTAAGAAAGTGACAATTTAGATTAGAGCAGAATATTGAGTCACCTAGACAACTTTAAAGCCCACGTTCTTTCCATTTACTGCATAGAATACAAATAATGATGTAGAGGAATATAGAACAAAGTCATATGGCTGTTCCAGAGAGAGGAGTTACTTTGAAGTGACTAAGAAAGCTGTCATAAGGAAGGTGCCCTTTGGATTGGCCCCTTAATAACTGGAGAAGGAGATTTGCAGTTGAAAATGAGCTGAGGTGCAGAAGGATGAAGGTAAAAATTATGTTCAAAGAATGGCAAGTGAGCCTATTGTCCAGAAAAGCACAGTTGGTATAACATAGCATTGGGCCCAGAAAGTGAATTTCATTTACCCTGGGATTTCTTTCATCCAGGTGAAAATTTATGTAAAGAGAAAGCTTTCTTAGTTTGAGATCAGAAACAATTATTGGTTGAGCATTTTAATTACTTAGATTATAGTTTATTAATGTTCTGGGTTAAATTATATTCCTGTCAACGTAAATTTACAATAGAAATTTGTGAATTTAGAGAAGAAAATATACTTAACCTTTGAATTAAATAATTAAATAAGTGACAGATCACAGATGTTAAAGAGAGAAAACATTAAACATGAAATTCAGCCTAGGAGTGTACTGAATGGACCTGGGCAAGATACTTAACCTCTGAGTCTCAATTTCCTTACTTGTAAAATGGAGATGATGAATATTTATTTTATAGGATTGCTGGGATAATTAGCTATACCATGTGAAGAAATGTCTGGCATGTAGCAGATACTAAACACATAGTAGCAATTTTTACAAAATACGTTTAAAAAGTCCCCTGAGAATCAAAGTGTTAATCCTGGCCTTAAAGATGGACACAATTATGAATAAATTCAGTGGTACTCCTAAGTGCAAAATTTTCATATTTTACTTATATGATTTCTTAGATTATTTGTCAAATAGAAATAATGATGTAATTATACAATTATGGAGACTGCAGCTACCCCTTCCCTATCTGAATTGGTATCCATACTTTCTCCATAAGGTGAGATGCAAAATGACACACATCATGTTCCAACATCAGAAAATACTGAATGAGTGATTTTGTGGTAGGAATAAAGCATAACATGACTCCCTTTCAGACACAGTTGAAGAATGAAACAGCAATTGCAAAGTGGCTAAAGGAGGGTAGGATCATTTCTCCCGCAGAGGATTACCAGCTTCTTTTGTGACCTCATCATTGTCTTAACAGTCCTTCTATCAGGGCAACAACGAGTTCATGTACAAACAGCCACTTAGGGCACAAAATTTAATGTGATTATTTATTTATTTATTTTAGATGGAGTTTCACTCTTGTTGCCCAGGCTGGAGTGTAATGGTGCGATCTCGGCACAGGGCAACCGCTGCCTCCCGGGTTCAAGCGATTCTCCTGCCTCAGCCCCCCGAGTAGCTGGAATTACAGGCATGTGCCACCACGCCCAGCTAATTTTGTAGTTTTAGTAGGGACAGGGTTTCTCCATGTTGGTCAGGCTGGTCTCAAACTTCCGACCTCAGGTGATCCACCTGCCTCGGCCTCCCAAAGTGCTGGGATTACAGGCGTGAACCACCACGCCCAACCAATGTGATTATTTATTAAAGATGTAAAATCAAATGGTGTTTTTTTTACAATTATTAAATTAGCATATATGTACAAGTGAGCTTGTGTTGAAATGGGTGCATTCATGTAAGCTACTGAGAGTATAAGTTGTAGTCATCTTTTAAAAACAAAATAGCAAAAACTTGAAATTGTTCCTTTTTTGATCTGTTGTTGCTATTGTTGAGACTTCATATTATTTTTAGGGAAAAAGGAAAAACACATGTAAAAATGCTCATTACTAAATCATTTGTAGTAGTAAAAAATGGAAAGCAGCTTCATGTTTGAAAACTAAGAAATGGTTCAGTAAACCACCAAATATAAATTTGCAGACTATAAACCATTAATTTAAAAGACTTATTGTGAAAAATAACAATGTAAAAAATGTTTATAACGTAATGTCAAGTGAAAAAACATTACAATGAACAGTATACTTTCAAACACATAAAACATGTTTCCTTATGACCCAAAGAACATAAAAAATGAAAACAAAGGATTTGTTAGTGAGTTGGGATTGTGAGATATTTTTCTTTTTTATTTATTTCTTTCATTGTTGGTATAATGTTTCTTGTGCTACAAATAGAAAACAAAATGGTAAATTCATAAAATGGAACTATTACTCTGATGTCAGACTCTGGAGGCATCTATGCAGGCTGATTTTTTACAGTTTACTAATATCAGTGTTATTACCTATTTATAAAAATACTTTATCTGTCTTATTTAAAATATTCAATTAAATGTTCTTGAAACAGTAAACCAACATCAATCTGAAATTAATTTTTTTTTTTTAAGATGGAGTCTTGCTCTGTCGCCCAGGCTGGAGTGCAGTGGTGCAATCTCGGCTCACTGAAACCTCCACCTCCCAGGTTCCAGTGATTCTCCTGCCTCAGCCTCCTGAGTAGCTGGGATTACAGGTGCGTGCCACCATGCCCAGTTAATTTTTGCATTTTTTTAAAATTATACTTTAAGTTTTAGGGTACATGTGCACATTGTGCAGGTTAGTTACTTATGTATACATGTGCCATGCTGGTGCACTGCACCCACTAACTCGTCACCTAGCATTAGGTATATCTCCCAATGCTATCCCTCCCCCCTCCCCCGACCCCACAACAGTCCCCAGAGTGTGATATTCCCCTTCCTGTGTCCGTGTGATCTCATTGTTCAGTTCCCACCTATGAGTGAGAATATGCGGTGTTTGGTTTTTTTGTTCTTGCGATAGTTTACTGAGAATGATGATTTCCAATTTCATCCATGTCCCTATAAAGGACATGAACTCATCATTTTTTATGGCTGCATAGTATTCCATGGTGTATATGTGCCACATTTTCTTAATCCAGTCTATCATTGTTGGACATTTGGGTTGGTTCCAAGTCTTTGCTATTGTGAATAATGCCACAATAAACATACGTGTGCATGTGTCTTTATAGCAGCATGATTTATAGTCCTTTGGGTATATAGCCAGTAATGGGATGGCTGGGTCAAATGGTATTTCCAGTTCTAGATCCCTGAGGAATCGCCACACTGACTTCCACAATGGCTGAACTAGTTTACAGTCCCACCAACAGTGTAAAAGTGTTCCTATTTCTCCACATCCTCTCCAGCACCTCTTGTTTCCTGACTTCTTAATGATCGCCATTCTAACTGGTGTGAGATGGTATCTCATTGTGGTTTTGATTTGCATTTCTCTGATGGCCAGTGATGATGAGCATTTTTTCATGTGTTTTTTGGCTGCATAAATGTCTTCTTTTGGGAAGTGTCTGTTCATGTCCTTCGCCCACTTTTTGATGGGGTTGTTTGTTTTTTTCTTGTAAATTTGTTTGAGTTCATTGTAGATTCTGGATATTAGCCCTTTGTCAGATGAGTAGGTTGCGAAAATTTTCTCCCATTCTGTAGGTTTCCTGTTCGCTCTGATGGTAGTTTCTTTTGCTGTGCAGAAGCTCTTTAGTTTAATTAGATCCCATTTGTCAATTTTGTCTTTTGTTGCCATTGCTTTTGGTGTTTTAGACATGAAGTCCTTGCCCATGCCTATGTCCTGAATGGTAATGCCTAGGTTTTCTTCTAGGGTTTTTATGGTTTTAGGTCTAACGTTTAAGTCTTTAATCCATCTTGAATTGATTTTTGTGTAAGGTGTAAGGAAGGGATCCAGTTTCGGCCTTCTACATATGGCTAGCCAGTTTTCCCAGCACCATTTATTAATAGGGAATCCTTTCCCCATTGCTTGTTTTTCTCAGGTTTGTTGTATATCTAGAAAACCCCATTGTCTCAGCCCAAAATCTCCTTAAGCTGATAAGCAACTTCAGCAAAGTCTCAGGATACAAAATCAATGTACAAAAATCACAAGCATTCTTATACACCAACAACAGACAAACAGAGAGCCAAATCATGAGTGAACTCCCATTCACAATTGCTACAAAGAGAATAAAATACCTAGGAATCCAACTTACAAGGGATGTGAAGGACCTCTTCAAGGAGAACTACAAACCACTGCTCAAGGAAATAAAAGAGGATACAAACAAATGGAAGAACATTCCATGCTCATGGGTAGGAAGAATCAATATTGTGAAAATGGCCATACTGCCCAAGGTAATTTACAGATTCAATGGCATCCCCATCAAGCTACCAATGACTTTCTTCACAGAATTGGAAAAAACTACTTTAAAGTTCATATGGAACCAAAAAAGAGCCCGCATCGCCAAGTCAATCCTAAGCCAAAAGAACAAAGCTGGAGGCATCACACTACCTGACTTCAAACTATACTACAAGTCTACAGTAACCAAAACAGCATGGTACTTGTACCAAAACAGAGATATAGATCAATGGAACAGAACAGAGCCCTCAGAAATAACGCTGCATATCTACAATTTTTGCATTTTTTAGTAGAGACAGGGTTTCACCATATTGGCCAGGCTGGTCTTGAACTCCTGACCTCGTGATCCGCCTGCTTCGGCCTCTCAAAGTGCTGGGATTATAGGTGTGGGCCAGTGCACCCGGCCTGAAATTAATTTTATGAGGATAATTGGCTTGAATGTAGGCAGTCTGCACTGGGTGGAGTTCAGAATGAATGATAAAACAATTACCCACCAGTTTCTCAACACTTCAATATATTTGGACAGAGAAAGAAGAAAAAACAAATTCTGGAAAATGATGTTTTCAGTTTGTGTGTTGTTTTTTTGAAAAATTAAAACACTTGTTTTTTAAGTAATATTAGCTTTATGGATTTCAGCTAATGATGTCATTTGCATTTCACATTGTTTTATTATTCTTTATAATAATTATAGAGCTATTTTTTCTATTCATGCCACATAAGGAACTATAGTTTTGAGACTTTGAAAGAATCATTTTTATGTACTGAATGTTGATTTTTTAAAAAGACATTTGGATCTGAATGGTAGCACTACCTTACGAAAGAGATATTACCTGCTTTGAGCTTCAGTGATCTTATCTATAAACTGATAGTAATTTCCCTCTTTTCTCTGCTTCTCAGGAAAAGTTATGACAACCTATAAATTAGTGAACATAACTGAATTCACTGGAAGTGTATAAAACAATAAATGGCATTTGCTCGCCTTTAGAGATATATTAATAAATGTTAAAAATATTCAATTCCAAAAGGAAAAGAACTATATCTTTTTATCCTACATTCAGTTCCTTCTGTCATTCAATAAATATTTATTTGGGGGTCTACAATCATTGTGCTAAATGCATGAAATACATCATAAAAATGCCAAAGATCTTGATCCACACTTTAGTGTGAGAGATAGAATAATGAACAGACCATAATAGCCCAGTTTGATAACTTTTTATAATAGGATACTATGGCAGAGTGCTAGACAAACAGTGAAACAATCCAGTCTAGACTTCTAATGGGGTTAATCTTAGATGGTTTTTAAAAATTAGATTAGAAATTAGAAAAAATCCTAAAATAATTAGTAGACTAGGAGTTAGCTAGTGAAGCCAGGGATTTAAGATGTGTACTGAGAGAAGACAGAAGAGATGGGCATTCACAGAAGTTAGCAAAGAATGATTTTTTCTGGATTTGTATACACACACACACACGCTCACACACACAAATTCTATTGTTTTGTTTTCATACTACAATTTAGACTTCTTATTGTTTTTTATAATGTTAGATTTTGTCACATATCTAAATTTATTTGTTCACCATTCATTTTTGCATTTTAGACCTTCTTTCTATAAGTATTTTCCTTCCCTTCGCAAGTACAATCCTCAGAATTTCCTTTTGTGAAGATTTGTGAGTGGTAAAATCCTTCACTTTTATTTATCTGAAAATGATTTATTTTGCTGTGTTCTTGAAAGATAAGAACTGTCTAGGTACACAATACTGAATTGTAACACACTATATTATTTTTTCTAATTATTTGCTCCGCTCCCTATAAGAATATTTTATATCCCTGCTCATTGCCATATAATTTGCTTTCTTTCTCTGTGGGAGGAGTATACTTCCCTACCACACAGGTATCCATCTTGTCTTCAAAACTTAGGTTGGCCCATAGAAATGTGAGCAAAAGTGATGTGTGCCAGGTCTCACAGAAGTTTAAGGGTCATTACATTATTCTGCCCTTGTTCCTTTCCTTTTGTCATAAGAAACACATGTTCCAAATTGGGATTACTCCTATAGTCTAGATGCCATAAAGACAAAACATGATCTAGAGCTAGTGCACTGATAGCTTACTAAGCCCCTATGTAATACAGGCAAAAAAAATAAAGCTTTGCTGCTATAATCTGCAGTTTTGGAACAATCATTTGTTGCTGCATCATGGAACAAAATGAGTGGCAGCCAGTTATGTCAACCAGATAGTTGCGAGTCTCTCTTTCTTTCTCTCTCTTTCTCTCTTTCTTTCTTTCTTGATGGAGTCTCACTCTGTTGCCAGGTCGGCATGCAGTGCTGCGATCTCGGCTCACTGCAACTTCCACCTCCCAGATTCAAGTGATTCTCCTGCCTCAGCCTCCCAAGTAGCTGGGATTACAAGCACACACCACCACGCCCAACTAATTTTTGTATTTTTAGTAGAGACGGGGATTCACCATGTTTGCCAGGATGGTCTTGATCTCCTGACCTCGTGATCTGCCCACCTTGGCCTCCCAAGAGAGCCATTTTTTTCTTAACACTCCACTTCGAATAAATTGTTCTACTGTTTTTTTTTTTTGCTTCCATTGTCACAGTCAAGAGGTTTTATGTTACACAAATTGTTCTTTGTGTGACCTTTTATCTCCAGCTGCTGCCTTCTTCTTCTTCTTCTTCTTCTTCTTCTTCTTCTTCTTCTTCTTCTTCTTCTTCTCCTTCTTCCTCTTCCTCTTCTTATTCTTGTTCATCTTCTTCCTCTTCCTCTTCTTTTTTTTTTATTATACTTTAAGTTCTGGGATACATGTGCAGAATGTGCAGGTTTGTTACATAGGTATACACGTGTCATGGTGGTTTGCTGCACCCATCAACCCATCATCTACATTACGTATTTCTCCTAATACTATCCCTCCCCCAGCCCCCAACCCCCAAAGAGGACCCAGTGTGTGATGCCACCTCCCCCTTCCAACTGTGTCCATGTGTTCTCATTGTTCAACTCCCACTTATGAGTGAGAACATGTGGTGTCTGGTTTTCTGTTCCTGTGTTACTTTGCTGAGAATGATGGTTTCCAGTTTCATCCATGTCCCTGCAAAGGATATGAACTCATCCTTTTTTATGGCTGTGTAATATTCCATGGTATATATGTCCCACATTTTCTTTATCCAGTCTATCACTGATGGGCACTTGGGTTGGTTCCAAGTCTTTGCTATTGTGAACAGTGCCACAATAAACATACGTGTGTATGTGTCTTTATAGTAGAATGATTTATAATCCTTTGTGTATGTACCCAGTAATGGGATTGCTGGGTCAAATGGTATTTCTGGTTCTAGATCCTTGAGGAATTGCCACACTGTATTCCACAATGGTTGAACTAATTTACACTCCCACCAACAGTGTAAAAGCATTCCTATTTTTCCACATCCTCTCCAGCATCTGTTGTTTCCTGACTTTTTAATGATTGCCATTCTAACTGGTGTGAGATGGTATCTCATTGTGGTTTTGATTTGCATTTCTCTGATGGCCAGCGATGATGAGCTTTTTTTCATATGTTTGTTGGCCACATAAATGTCTTCTTTTGAGAAATGTCTGTTCATATCCTTCACCCACTTTTTGATGGGGTTGTTTTTTTTTTCTTGTAAATTTGGTTAAGTTCTTTGTAGATTCTGGATATTAGCCCTTTGTCAGATGAGTAGATTGCAAAAATTTTCTCCCATTCTGTAGGTTGCCTATTCACTCTGATGGTAGTTTCTTTTGCTGTGCAGAAGCTCTTTAGTTTAATTAGGTCCCATTTGTCAATTTTGGCTTTTGTTGCCATTGCTTTTGGTGTTTTAGTCATGAAGTCCTTCCCCATGTCTATGTCCTGAATGGTATTGCCTAGGTTTTCTTCTAGGGATTTTTAATGGTTTTAGGTCTTACATTTAAGTCTTTAATCCATCTTGAGTTAATTTTTGTAAAGGTGTATGGAAGGGGCACAGTTTCAGCTTTCTGCGTATGGCTAGCCAATTTTCCCAACACCATTTATTAAATAGGGAATCCTTTCCCCATTGCTTGTTTTTGTCAGGTTTGTCAAAGATCAGATGGTTGTAGATGTGTGGTGTTATTTCTGAGGCCTTTGTTCTGTTCCATTGGTCTATTTATCTGTTTTGGTACCAGTACCAGCTGCTTTTAAGATATCCACTTTTAAATTTAATATCCTATAGTTTCACTAACAAGTAGGTGTCTTTTGACTTAGTCTGCTTGATATTTGTAATAGATTTGTCTATACTTGCACATTCTTATTTTTTCTAAGTATAAAATACTATTAACTTTTCATATATTTATTCTCACCATTTCCTCTCATCTCTTCTGCAATTATGATTGGACATATGTTAGACCTCTATTCTATTCTCCAACCTCTATTTTATGTTTTCATATTTGTTCTCTGCTGTAATTTAAGAAATTACACTACAGATTTTACCTTTTTCCCCCATTGCATTTTCTTTGCATTTTTGTCAAAATAAGCTTGTCATTTATGTGTCATCTATTGCTGGCATCTCTATTATGTTCCATTGACCTACTATCTGTCCTTTAATCACAACAAACTGTCCTGATTTTGCAGCTTTTTACTAACTTTTAAAATTGAGTAGCATGGGTCCACCAACTGTATTCCTCTTTTCAAAATTTACTAGGCCATTGTAGTACTTTTGCTTTTCCATGTAAATTTTAGAATTAGCTTGTCTATATATTTTTTAAAAAAATACTTTAAGTTCTGGGATACATGTGCAGAATGTGCAGGTTTGTTACGTAGGTATACAAGTGCCATGGTGGTTTGCTGCACCCATCAACCCATCATCTACATTAGGTATTTCTCCTAATGCTATCCCTCGCCTCTCCCCCGACCTCTTCATAGGCCTCAATGTGTGATGTTCCCCTCCCTGTGTCCATGTTGTCTCATTGTTCAACCTCCACTTATGAGTGAGAACATGCAGTGTTTGGTTTTCTGTTCCTGTGTTAGTCTGCTGAGAATGATGGTTTCCAGCCTCATCCATGGCCCTGCAAAGGGCATGAACTCATCCTTTTTTATGGCTGCATAGTATTCCATGGTATATATGTGCCACTTTTTCTTTATCCAGTCTATCACTGATGGGCATTTGGGTTGGTTCCAAGACTTTGCTATTGTGAATAGTGCTGCAGTAAACATACATGTGCATATGTCTTTATAGTAGAATGATTTATAATCCTTTGGGTATGTATCCAGTAATGGGATTGCTGGTTCAAAAAGTATTTCTGGCTCTAGATCCTTGAGGAATCGCCACACTGTCTTCCACCATGGTTGAACTAATTTACACTCCCATCAACAGTGTAAAAGCATTCCTATTTCTCCACAACTTCTTCAGCATCTGTCGTTTCCTGACTTTTTAATGATTGCCATTCTAACTGGCATGAGATGTTATCTCGTTGTGGTTTTCATGTGCATTTCTCTAATGACCAGTGATGATTAGCTTTTTTTTTCATATGTTTGTTGGCCACATAAATGTCTTCTTTTGAGAAGTGTCTGTTCATATCCTTTGCCTACTTTTTGATGGGGTTGTTTGTTTGTTTTCTTGTAAATTTACTTAAGCTCCTTATAGATTCTGGATATTAGCCCTTTGTCAGATGGATACATTGCAAATTTTTTCTCCCATTCTGTAGGTTGCCTGTTCACTCTGATGGTAGTTTCTTTTGCTGTGCAGAATCTCTTTAGTTTAATTAGATCCCATTTGTCTATTTTGACTTTTGCTGCCATTGCTTTTGGTGTTGTAGTCATGAAGTCCTTGCCCATGCCTATGTCCTGAATGGTATTGCCTAGGTTTTCTTCTAGGGTTTTTATGATTTTAGGTCTTACATTTAAGTCTTTAATCCATCTTGAGTTAATTTTTGTAAAGGTGTAAGGAAGGGGTCCAGTTTCAGTTTTCTGCATATGGCTAGCCAGTTTTCCCAACACCATTTATTAAATAGGAAATCCTTTCCCCAATGCTTATTTTTGTCAGGTTTGTCAAAGATCAGATGGTTGTAAATGTGTGGCATTATTTCTGAGGCCTTTGTTCAATTCCATTGGTCTATATATCTGCTTTGTTATCAGTACCATGCTGTTTTGGTTACTGTAGGCTTGTGGTATAGTTTGAAGTCAGGTAGCGTGATGCCTCCAGCTTTGTTCTTTTTGGTTAGGATTGTCTTGGCTATACAGGCTCTTTTTTGGTTCCATCAGAAATTTAAAGTAGTTTTTTTCTAATTCTGTGAAGAAAGTCAATGGTAGCTTGATGGGGATAGCATTGAATCTATACATTACTTTGGGCAGTATGGGCATTTTCACGATATTGATTCTTCCTATCCATGAGCATGGAATGTTTTTCCATTTGTTTGTGTCCTCTCTTATTTCCTTGAGAAGTAGTTTGTAGTTCTCTTTGAAGAGGTCCTTCACATCCCTTGAAAGTTGTATTCCTAGGTATTTTATTCTCTTTGTAGCAATTGTGAATGGGAGTTCATTCATGATTTGTCCCTCTGTTTGTCTATTATTGGTTAATAGGAATGCTTGTGATTTTTGCACATTGATTTTGTATCCTGAGACTTTGCTGAAGTTGCTTATCAGCTTAAGGAAATTTTGGGATGAAACGAAGGAGTTTTCTAAATATACATTCATGTCATCTGCAAACAGAGACAATTTGACTTCCTCTCCTCCTATTTGAATACCTTCATTTCTTTCTCTTGCCTGATTGCCCTGGCCAGAACTTCCAATACTATATTGAGTAGGAGTGGTGAGAGAAGGCACCCTTGTCTTGTGCCAGTTTTCAAAGGAAATGTTCCAGCTTTTGCCCATTCAGTGTGATATTGGCTGTGGGTTTGTCATAAATAGGTGTTACTATTTTGAGATACATTCCATCAATACCTAGTTTACTGAGAGTTTTTATCATGAAAGGCTGCTGAATTTTATCAAAGGCCTTTTCTGCATCTATTGAGATAAAATGTGGTTTTTGTCATTGGTTCTGTTTATGTGATAGATTATGTTTATTGATTTGCGTATATTGAACCAGCCTTGCATCCCAGGGATGAATCCAACTTAATCATGGTGGATAAACTTTTTGATGTTCTGTTGGATTTGATTTGCCAGAATTTTATGGAAGATTTTCACATTGATGTTCATCAGGGATATTGGCCTGAAATTTTCTTTTTTTGTTGTGTCTCTGCCAGGTTTTGGTATCAGTATGATGCTAATGAGTTAGGGAGGAGTCCCTCTTTTTCTATCATTTGGAATCATTTCAGAAGGAATGGTACCAGCTCCTCTTTGTACCTCTGGTAGAATTCGGATGTGAATCCGCCTAGTCCTGGGCATTTTTGGTTGGTAGGCTATTAATTATTGCCTCAATTTCAGAACTTGTTATTGGTCTATTAAGGGATTTGACTTCTTCCTGGTTTAGTCTTGGGAGGGTGTATGTGTCCAGGAATTTATCCATTTCTTCTAGATTTTCTAGTTTATTTGCATAGAGGTGTATGTAGTATTCTCTGATGGTAGTTTCTATTTCTTTGGGATAGTGGTGATATCCCCTTTATCATTTTTTTATTGTGTCTATTTGATTCTTCTCTCTTTTCTTCCTTATTAGTCTGGCTAGCGGTCTATCTATTTTGGTAATCTTCTCGAAACCCAGCTCCTGGATTCACTGAAGAGAGAGGGGGCCAATATTCAACAGTCTTAAATAATTTTCAACCCAGAATTTCATATCCAGCCATACTAAGCTTCAAAAGGGAAGGAGAAATAAAATCCTTTACAGGCAAGCAAATGCTGAGAGATTTTGTCACCACCAGGCCTGCCTTACAAGAGCTCCCAAAGGAAGCATTAAACATGGAAAGGAACAACCGGTACCAGCAACTACAAAAACATACCGAATTGTAAACACCATCAACACTATGAAGAAACTGCATCAACTAACGGGCAAAATAACCAGCTAGCATCAAAATGACAGGATATAATTCACACATAACAATATTAACCTTAAATGTAAATGATATAAATGCCCCAATTAAAAGACACAGACTGGCAAATTGGATAAAGAGTCAAGACCCATCAGTGTGCTATATTCCGGAAAGCCATCTCACTTGCAAAGGCACACATGGCTCAAAATAAAGGGATGGAGGAATATTTACCAAGCAAAAGAAAAACAAACAAACAAAAAAAGCAGTGGTTGCAATCTGAGTCGCTGATAAAACAGACTTTAAACCAACAAAGATAAAAAAGACAAAGAAAGGCATTACATAATGGTAAAGGGATCAATGCAACAAGAAGAGCTAACCATCATAAATATATATGCACCCAATACAGGGGCACCCAGATTCATAAAGCAAGTTCTTAGAGACCTACAAAGAGACTTATACATTTTTTTGGATGTTGAAATTTGGGGGGGATTTTTTGAAATTTTGTTTGGGACTGTATAGAATCAAAAGATAAAATTGAGATGAAGTGACATGCTAACTATATTGAGTCTTCCAATTCATAAATATGGTATGTCCACCATTTATATCTGTATTTTTTATTCCAACAGGATTTTATATTTTTCAGTATATAAATTCTGGACATATCTTCTTAGATTTTTATTTCATTTCTTTCCTTCAATACTGTTTGAAGTGATTTTTTTTAGTCTCAAATTCTGAGCTTTCATTGCTAGTATTTGGAAATATGACTGACTTTATCCAATGATACATATATAATGAAAATGTGACATTTTAATTTATCAATGTTGTATTGTACAAACTTGCTAAACTCCCTCATGTTTTTGGAGCTATTTTTGTAGATTGTCTGAAATTCTCTACATAGGTAAGCATGTCCTCTGTGAATACAGACAGTTTTCCTATCTAATCTGTAAGGCTTTTATTTTAATTTCTTGTTTTATTTCACTGGGCAATATTAGCAGTACTGTATTGATTAGGGGTGATAAGAGTACATCTTTGCCTCCTTCTCAATCCTAGGGGAAAATGTTCAGCCTCTTACCATTAAGTATGATGTTAGTTATAGGTGTCTTTTTAAAAAAGAGATGTCCTTTATCCTGTTAAGAAAACATCTTCCTATTTCTAATTTGTTGTGTTTGAATCATAAATAAATGCTGAATTTTGGCAAATGCTTTGTCTATGTCTGTGGAAATAATCATAAGAATTTTCTCACTCAATCTGTTAATATGGCCACCCATTTGCACATGATGTATTATCCTATATATATATATAGTTGAATTTAATTTGCTATTAATTAAATATATATATAGAATAAATATATATATAAATATATATTTATATATATAAAATATATTGTTGAATTTAATTTGCTAATGTTTTGTTAAGGATTTTTTAGTCACTGTTCAGGGATATCAGTTTATGGTTTTCTTTTCTTGTAATGTCTTTTTCTGGTTTTATTATAAACTTAATGCTGGCCTCAAAATGAGTTTGAAATTGTTTTCTTTACTAATGCACCTCCATGAGGCTTTCTTTTCCTACTGCTCTTATAATTGCAGAAGCAGCTTCCTATTTTGTTATCTTTGTGTGTGAGCTCATATTTGTTTTATCTTGGTTTATGGAAATCAGGAGGACCTATATCTGATGTGCATTCCTTCAGAAAGTATCTACACTTGCTCTTGCCAAAAACCTCATGCCACTACCCAATGTGTGGCCATTTTAGCCCTCTTTGAAAATTCTTTATAGCAGCATGATTTACAGTCCTTTGGGTATATACCCAGTAATGGGATGGCCGGGTCAAATGGTATTTCTAGTTCTAGATCCCTGAGGAATCACCACACTGACTTCCACAATGGTTGAACTAGTTTACAGTCCCACCAACAGTGTAAAAGTGTTCCTATTTCTCCACATCCTCTCCAGCACCTGTTGTTTCCTGACTTTTTAATGAATGCCATTCTAACTGGTGTGAGATAGTATCTCATTGTGGTTTTGATTTGCATTTCTCTGGTGGCCAGTGATGATGAGCATTTTTTCATGTGTCTTTTGGCTGCATAAATGTCTTCTTTTGAGAAGTGTCTGTTCATATCCTTTGCCCACTTTTTGATGGGGTTGTTTGTTTTTTTCTTGTAAATTTGTTTGTGTTCATTGTAGATTCTGGATATTAGCCCTTTGTCAGATGAGTAGGTTGCGAAAATTTTCTCCCATTTTGTAGGTTGCCTGTTCACTCTGATGGTAGTTTCTTTTGCTGTGCAGAAGCTCTTTAGTTTAATTAGATCCCATTTGTCAATTTTGGCTTTTGCTGCCATTGCTTTTGGTGTTTCGTATGTTTATTGCGGCACTATTCACAATAGCAAAGACTTGGAACCAACCCAAATGTCCAACAATGATAGACTGGATTAAGAAAATGTGGCACATATACACCACGGAATACTATGCAGCCATAAAAAATGATAAGTTCATGTCCTTTGTAGGGACATGGATGAAATTGGAAATCATCATTCCAATCACCCAAACTACCTCAAGGACAAAAAACCAAACACCGCATGTTCTCACTCATAGATGAGAATTGAACAATGAGAACACATGGACACAGGAAGGGGAACATCACACTCTGGGGACTGTTGTGGGGTGGGGGGAGGGGGGAGGGATGGCATTGGGAGATATACCTAATGCTAAATGACGAGTTGGTGGGTGCAGCACACCAGCATGGCACATGTATGCATATGTAACTGGCCTGCACGTTGTGCACATGTACTCTAAAACTTAAAGTACAGTAATAAAAAAAAGAGAGAGAATAATAATAATAATGGCTTATTTCCTCACAGCTTATTTACTCCTTACTGAGGAATTATTAATATCAAAGTGTTTAGTATATCATACATGCTCAATAAAGGTGTAGCCATTGTCTAGGAAAAAAAAAAAAGAAAATTCTTAACCTAATACAAGATTCTTAGTTTCAGCCTCCCCACTTCATAGCTGATCTAAGGTATTGTCTTCTGATAGCAGCCCTTTTACTGGAATTTGTACAGGGCCAACTAAACTTTTTGATTTTAGCACTATTAAAAAAAACTTAGGGGTGGTTACTAATTTTTTATTTTATTGTTATAAGTCCAGCAATGCCTTAGAAAGTGTATAAATACAAACAAGATCCAGTCGCTTACTCTTTAGAGGGGCCTTCAGAATATCTTGACTCCATAGGACTCTGAAGTCACCTCATCATTTGAATCAGAAGTGCACCCCCCAACACATTTTAATAATGAGACAGCTGAGAATAAAGATGATACATAGTCTGGCCACAATTGTATGGCCAGGAAGTGACAGATATATGGTAGGTTCAGAGTTGTCTTCACCAAAGTCCATGCTGTTTCCCTAAATCCACATTCCTGTAATCTACAGTGTACATGTACCAGGAAATATAATATAAGGCATTATAAAGTTCCTCATTCTTATATATGCTTTCAAATTAGCTTATGTGCAGGAAATCAGTTGTTGACTTCATTAAGAAACTAGATGCTTTATTGTTATGGCACCTAACCTTTTACTTTTATCTCTGCTTCCTCTCTTTTCTTTTCCACTAACCACACCGAGATTTGCAAGAGTAAGAATTTCTGCCTATTGGCTAGAATTTCAGGACTCCTGTATTCGGGTTGTTGCCATTTATGTGGTCTGTCACTTTTCAGCAATTAGAGAATCCAGTTTTGGTTTCATCAAACCAATGCTGAAATCACAGCTAGTGTTTCCTGTAATTGGAGACATTAATATTAAATATATGAATTTGAAGGCTTGAATGAAAGATGTTTATCCAAACCTTTTTTTTGTCACCATAACAATTTTGTGATTCAAACATTTTTAAGTATGTTGCATTATTGTGTACTTTTTTTTAAGCAATAAAAATCCACACCTAATTTGACATGATTTCTTTGGCAGTTAATACGTACACATTATACAGTTTAATGAATCTGCAAACTAAATAATGGTTGTAGTGGGTGTGAAAATAGGGATATTTAAATGCATAAGGAAATTTAGCACATCCCAGTAGCCATGTAAATAGACTTCTGATTCTTTTATAAATTGCAAATACTTTCTTGTGCAGAAACACAGTGAAAAATATAGTGCCGCATCCACACATAGATCTCATTATCACACCTCAGAATGCTCACTGCATACCTATTACCCACTTAAAAGCTCCATTAAAACACCCAGTCTGTTTCAGCAGCAGCTAAACAAGTCAAAAACTAAGCCTCATTTGTCACTATTTATCCCCAGAGATTAAAGACAGCTGTATTGATGAGATGTATGTAAAATTACATCTCCCGTTATTTTGATAAAAAGCTTTTAAATATGACCCTGTGTCATATAAAATCAGTATTCAAAAGCTCATTATCGGCATAAATCCTAGAATAAACAAACCTGGGAGAAATGTTTATGAAGAAAAATGATCATGGGCAATAGACATTTGGTGGATTGTACTGTTAACTTGCAATAAAAAACTTAACCTTTTGGCATAATAGTTGTTTATTATTTACAGTCGACATACAAAAATGTTAACATATT
The DNA here is from genome assembly GCF_000001405.40 of Homo sapiens. NCBI lineage: Eukaryota > Metazoa > Chordata > Mammalia > Primates > Hominidae > Homo > Homo sapiens. The sequence goes on along the minus strand of NC_000009.12, from coordinate 104,049,620 downwards.
CAATGTTTTACATAAACGTAAACTAATTAACAAGATAGCATATTGCTGAGAAAGATAAATTGAGTTCCAGCTTAGAGCCAAGTAAAGAAACCATTATATATAGAGAAGCTGATAACATTCAGAATGTGCCACAGTGGTGATACATTTGAAACCTGTGTTTTCAAAAGCCATGACATTTTCTCCCATTTTCACTGTGCTCCATCTATCCTTTATTTGGATACCATTGGCCATTGTTTTATAATTGCTGTATTGCCATTAAATGGGCAGATGGTAGCAGCGTACATAAACACAAATCGGGATGTGCTAGGTTATGTTTCTAAAACAAATAAAAAATGCACGACTAGTCATATGGAGATCAAGTAATTATTTGTATGCACTATGCCTGTCCTTTGGATGTATGCCATGAGAAGAATGGTGGTGTCTATATTTAGGTGAGCTTAGATTCAAACTGTGTGTGTGTGTCTGAGTGTGTGTGTGTGTGTCCTTTCTCATGTTTAAACATAAAAAAAATTATTACTATCTTGATTCATTCCTCTGTTTTTATGCAAATATAATTGTTAGGATCTCAATAAACATATTTTTTCAGCAATATAAAAATGTCTTTCAGAGTGAGTATTGAAAAAACATTCCTAAAAATGAAGAGATGCATGTCACTGTTTAACTATTGTATTTAAGCATTTCTCTCTCCCTGTCTCCCTCCCTCTCTCTCTAAAGTCTGGACTAATGCTACCATCTTGTTATTTCATGATTTCTAGATAAAGCAGATTTTGGTTGCCTAAGAACTATTTTCTTATCCACTGTCCCCTTCCTCCCTTCATTTAAAGAAGCCTGATTTTGTTTAGTAGGCAGCATGCTAAGTTAACAATATTAATTATGATTAGTCTAAACACTTCCCTATTTCAGTGGTTGGTGAAGGAGTAAGTAGGTGACTTGTTTCTGGCCAAGAAGGTGCTCAGAGCTGTAGGGCTTCTATGAAGGCATTTGCTCTCTGATTAGAGGGGAGAAGACCAGGTGGCCCTTTCCTGCCTCAGAAATGTTCTGTGGAGATATGATGTTAAACACCATGTTGGGGCCATGATATCATCAAGTACCTTACTTACAAGTGCCGTGAATCGATTGGGAAGAAAAAATGCTTATTAAGGAGTAAGAGGATGTTATATGGATCTGAACTAAACAAATGGCAGTGGAGATAGAATAGATGGGTTACATTTCAGAGATATTTGAGAAGTAAAACTGACAGGAATTCATGATGGATTTGATAATAGAATGAGAGCAGGAGTTGAAGATGACATTGACTTTTCTGACACTGAAGTGGTGGTGTACTGTTAACCAGGATGGGTGAAAGGTAAGATTTCATATACCTCTAAATGTCAGAGCAGCCTTTTCCAGAAAACAGCTGAGTAGGGATAACAGCTCAGGTAAACTATAAGGACTAGAGCTTTATATCTGGAATCTTACGTTTATTAATATTGGTTAAATTCATGGGTATAAATGAGGTTAAAAGATATGTGGGACATTTCTATAAATTATTCTTTCTCTTTCTTCTTTGCCATTTTATATCTTTGGTTTTTGTAAAGCCTAATTCATTTCCCATATATCCAACTCTATTGAATATCTTTCTAACTGGAAGCCCTTATAGGCACCTCAAAAACAGAATATATAAAATTGAACTCCTACTTCTAACAAATCCAATCCTTCTATTCTGTTCTTTCCTTTCAAGAAAAATAAAAAGTATCCTTTCAGTGGCAGAATTTTAGTCATTTAGAATCCTGCCTTTTTTCAGGATTCCATATCCACTCAGTTATTTTACTTCCTTAGCGTACCTTTATAACCTTTTCTCCATTTGAACATAGCATTTATTTTTTTCCTTTTATTTTTATTTGACATAAAATAATTGTACACATTTATGGGATACAGAGCGATATTTTGATAAGTGTATACAATGAGCAATGATCAAATCAGGGTAATAAGCACATCCATTACCTTGGACATTATTTTTTGTGTTGGAAACATTCAAAAATCTCTTCTAGCTTTTTGAAAATATACGCTAAATTGTTAAAAATGTTTACTATACTGTCCTACAGAACACTAAAACTTATTCCTTCCATCTAGCTGTAACTTTGTATCTATCAACCAATCTCTCCCTATCCTCCCCTCCCCTCTCTCTTCCTCACCGCTAATAAACACAATTCTCTTCTCTACTTCTTAGACCTCAAGTTTTTGTTTTATTTTGTTTTGTTATTAGCTCTCACATATGAGTGAGAACATGTGGTATTTATTTTTCTGTGCCTGGCATTTCATTTAAGATAATGCCCTCCTTGCTCATTCATGTTGCCACAAATGACAAGATTTCATTCTTTTTAATGGTTGGATAGTATTTCATTGTGTGTATATACCACATTGCCATCTGTTTAGATAGACACTTAGGTTGATTCCATATCTTGGCTACTGGAAACAGTGCTGCAATAAACATGAGGATGTAGGTGCCTCTTTGATATACTGATCTCCTTTCCTTTGGATAAATACCTAATGGAATAGCTGGGTCATATGGTAGTTCTATTTTTAGTTTTCTGAGAAACCTTCATACTGTTTTCCATAATGGATGTACTAATTTACATTCCCATCAACAATGTATAAGAGTTCCCTTTTCTCTCTAGCTTCTCCAGCATTTTTTTTTTTGTGTTTTGGATAATAATAATTTTAGCTGGGGTGAAATTATATCTCATTGTCATTTTGATTTGCATTTCCCTAATGATTAGTGATGTTGAGCATTTTTTCATACACTACTTGGCCATTTATACGTCTTCTTTTGAGAAATGTCTATTCAGATACTATGCCCATTTTATAATAAAAATTGTGCAGGTTTTTTTTTTTTCTGTTAAGTTGCTCAAGTTCCATGTATATTCTGGATATTAGTCCCTTGTCATATGAATAGTTTGCAAATATTTCCTTCCATTTACCAGTTGTCTCTTCACTCTGTTGGTTGTTTCCTTTGCTGTAAAGAAGCTTTTACATTTGATATAGTTCCATTTGTCTTTTTGTTTTTATTGTTTGTTCTTTTCAAGTCTTAGCCATAAATTTTTTCCTAGATCAATGTCCAGAAGGATTTACTCTATGTTTTCTTTCATTAATTTTATAATTTTGAGTATTATGCTTAAATCTTTAATCCATTTTGAGTTCATTTTTAATCATGGTGAGACATAAGGGTCTGGAAACATTCTTCTACATATGGATATTCAGTTTTCCCAGCACCATTTATTGAAGAGGGTGTCTTTTCCCCAATGTATGCACTTGGCACCTTTGTCTAAAATGAGTTAGATTTAAATACATAAATTTATTTCTGGGTTCTCTATTCTGTTGCATTGTCCTATGAGTCTTTTTAAGCTATGATAACTTCATGTAATAAAGTTGTATATTATTATCATATATAATAATTTTAAAATCAGATACTGTGATGCCTCCACCTTCGTATTTTTTGCTCAGAATTTCTTTGACTATTCACGGTCTTTTGTGGTCACATGCAAATTTTAGGATTTTTCTTCCTATTTCTGTGAAGAATGTCACCGGTATTTTCACAGCGATTGCATTTAATCTGTAAATTGCTTTGGGTAGTATGGTCATTTTAAAAATATTAGTTCACGGCCAGGTGCGGTGGCTCATGCCTGTAATCCAGGCACTTTGGGATGCCAAGGCGGGCAGATCACGAGTTCAGGAGATTGAGACCATCGTGGCCAACACAGTGAAACCCCCTCTCTACTAAAATACAAAAAATTAGCTGGGCGTGGTGGCAGGCGCCTGTAGTCCCAGCTACTCGGGAGGCTGAGGCACGGGAATCACTTGAACCCAGGAGGTGGAGTTTGCAGTGAGTGGAGATCATGCCACTGCACTCCAGCCTGGTGATGGAGCAAGATTCCATTTCAAAAAAAAAAAAAAATTAATTCACTCCATGAACATGAGATGTCTTTTCATTTTTTTCATTTTTTTGTGTTCTCTTCAATTTTTAAATCAGTGTTTTATAGTTTTCTTTGTAGAGATTTTTTACCTCCTTGGTTAGGTACTTTTTGTAGCTATTGTAAAAGAGATTGCTTTTTAAATTTCTTTTTCAGCTAGTTAATTATTGGTGTACAGGAACACTATTGGTTTTTGTATGCTAATTTTGTATCCTGAAGTTTTACTAAATTCCTTCATCAGTTCTAAGAGTTTACTGGTGAAGTCTTTAGGTATATATATATATATATATATATATATATATATATATATATATAATTGTGTCACCTGTGAAGAGGGATGGTTTCACTTCCTCTTTTCCAGTTTGGATACCGTTCATTGCTTTCTCTTGCCTAATTGTGCTGGCTAGAACTTATAGTATGTGTTGAATAAGAGTAGTGAAAGTTAGCATATTTGTCTTGTTCCAATTTTTAGAGGAAAGGCTTTTATCTTTTCCCCATTTAGCAGGATGTTTGCTGTGGGTTTGTCATATATGACCTTTATTGTGTTGAGGTATGTTCCTTCTATATTTAATTGTTGGGAGTTTTTATCATGAAGATATGTTAAGTTTTAGAAAATGCGTTTACTGTATCTATTGAGTAATCTTATGTTTTTTTCATTCTGTGAGATGTGGTATATCACATTTATTGATTTGAATATGTTGAACCATTTTTGCTTTCCTGGGATAAATCCCACTTTATCATGTTGTGTAATCTTTTTGGTGTGTTGTTGGATTCAGTTTGCTAGTATTTTACTGAAGAGTTTTGCAACTCTGTTCATCAGACATATTGGCCTGTAATTGTTGTTGTTACTGCTATTGTGTCATTCTCTGGTTTTGGTATCAGAGTAATGCTGGCCTTGTAAAATGAGTTGTGAAAAATTCCATTCTCTTTAATTGCTTGGAATAGGTTGAGAAGAATTGATGTTAGTTCTTCTTTAAAAGTTTGGTAGAATTCATCAGTAAAGCCGTGGAATCCTAGATTTTGTTGGCAGACTTTTTATTACTGATTCAATATCATTACTTGTTATCATTCTGTCCAGGTCTTCTATATCTTCCTGTGAACACAGCATTTCTTGACTAGATTATAGATAGTCTCCCAACTGATTTACCAACTTCTGGTTTTGGCCCTTCCAATTTATCTGCCATCCAAATTATTGTTAGAGTGGTTGTCATAAAGTAAAAATGAACAAAAAAAATCAACTAACTGTAAAATCCTTCTGCTTAAAATTTTTAAATGGTCATTACTGCAATTCAGGATAAAATTTACATTCCTTAACTTGGCATACCAGACCCTTCACTGTCTGTCACTGCATTATTTATTTACCCTTTTCCCCATATTCTCTCTATATAGCACCTTAATTTCCTATTATTTCCGTGAAGAATTACCACAAACTTAAGAGCTCAAAACAACAAATACTTATTCAAGTAAAATTACGGAGATCAGAAGTTACTAATGGTTTGTCAGGGCTGCATTTCTTCTGGAAGCTGTAGAGGAGAATCCAGTTCCTTGACTTTTCCAGCTTCTAGAAGCCCCCTGTATTCCTTGACTTGTGGGCCATTCCTTCATCTTTAAAGTCAGCAGTGTGGCTTTTTCAGTCTTGCTCTTCTCTGCCCTCTGCCTCTGGTCCTTTCCTTCTCTAATTCCCCTCCTGCCTCTCTTTTCCCATTATAATGGCTCTTGTGATTACATCGTGCCTACCTGGCTAATGCAGGATAATTTTACTATCTGAAGATCCTCAACTTGATCATATCTGTAAATTCCCTTTTGCCATATAAAGTAACATATTCACAGGTTCTGGGGATTAGGAATATTGGCATCTTTTGGGTGAGATGTTATTCTGTCTATCACACATATACTTTTAGTAACTATTAAAACCATATTGCTCTCCCTTCCTGGAATGACATTCTCCTCATTCCTATTTTCATTAGCTTCAGGTATTATCAAAAAACAAAGCTCAGCTTCAGGTTTCAATTCTCTTTTCTATGGAAAATCACACACAAACAAGAAGAAAAAGACACATACTCTAAACACACACTCTAGGTAATGTCCACAACTTTGAAATACTAGTACATGGAAATGGGTGGCGCAATAGCATCCGATTTATCAGAATGAAGAAATTCAAATCTAAGGGCTTGTAGAGAGAGATACTGTAAAATGCAAGCAGCTTTTTTTTTTTTTTTCTCCGTAGCATCTTGGAAAGGCCCAAAGAATTAGAAACATCAGATATCATAAAAGATCGAACAGGATAAAGTCAATGAGGTAAGTGAAAATAAAGTGGTTTGAAAATCTATATGAAGAGAAGTTATTACTCCACATTGTCAATAAAACTCTCACCTTTAAGGTACCCAATCTCCACCCACATCCCTGCAGAAGACAAGAAATGTTTCTGGAGAAACAGAACCAGAAAATCTTTGGGCTGTTTAAAGGTGGAGGTAACAACACAAAATTGAGTTTATGCCAAGCATAAACAGCTGAATTGCCTTTCTAATCGTATAGCACATGCTGATCAGGCCTATGCAAGCCTAACCAATTCCCGTTTCTCTAATTCTATCCCAATGTACCAGTCAATAATTGTTTTCACTATGTCTTGCAATTTTCCATCTGTATTGGGTTTGTAAGGAAAAAAAAATTGATATGAATAACGGTTCTTAGTAGCAAGCTCATTCACGGAATCTGTGTACCAAAGGGTCGTGCTATATGTAGTTTTAGCCATAAAGTTAACAAAAACTAAGAGCAATACATTGATTACTAGGGAAAACACTAAAGATGTTCTTCAAGTTCTTTCTTCAAACAATAAGGAAGACTCCTGGCTGAAGTAGAGGCAGGATCATAATTGGAGGATGAACAGATCCACTGAGTATTCATAACACTGAGTATTCATAACTGAGTATTTTAACATTTCTTATTAGGATAAAAAGATGCCAGAGTTTGCAATGTGAAATAAGCAACGGAAACATCAGTGATCAGAAAATGAGACACTTGGAGAAACTCATCAAAAAGTGCCAACTTTTTATATGCTTGGTCCTCTACCACCTAAGGGCATGGGGTCCCTTCAAAGGCTTGCTTTGCCCAAGTCTATAACATGGAGATGGCTCCTCTCAAACTACTGTGGCTTATGAAGGGACTGCAGTGCCTGGCTAAAATAATATTCCTTCAGTGCTCACTCTTTTTTATTTTATTATTATTATACTTTAAATTTTAGGGTACATGTGCACAACGTGCAGGTTTGTTGCTGACGTATACATGTGCCATGTTGGTGTGCTGCACCCATTAACTCATCATTTAGCATTAGGTATATCTCCTAATGCTATCCCTCCCCCCTCCCCCCACCCCACAACAGTCCCCGGTGTGTGATGTTCCCCTTTCTGTGTCCATGTGTTCTCATTGTTCAATTCCCACCTATGAGTGAGAACGTGCAGTGTTTGGTTTTTTGTCCATAAATCATGCTGCTATAAAGACACATGCACACGTTATGTTTATTGCGGCACTATTCACAATAGCAAAGACTTGGAACCAACCCAAATGTCCAACAATGATAGACTGGATTAAGAAAATGTGATACATATACACCATGGAATACTATGCAGCCATAAAAAATGATGAGTTCATGTCTTTGTAGGGACATGGATGAAGCTGGAAACCATCATTCTCAGCAAACACTCCTTTTTTTTTTTTAAAAAAACACAACTCTATAAAATCTGGAATTTTTAAATGTTGAGACTTTTAATTGAGCTTTTGACTTTGTGATCTGATGATGTTGCTTCATGACTGATGAACACACTGCTGGCAAACCTCATTCATTGGGTGGAAGCAGAATTAGTGACAAATCTACCAGGTTTAATACCTGGATGGCAAAATAGTCTATACAACAAACTCCCATGACACAAGTTTACCTATGTAACAAGCCTGCATATGTACCTCTCAACTTAAAATAAAAGTTAAAAAGCCCCTCCTTGTTTTACTTTCAAGGAAACTAGATAATATAATATGACAATGTGGTTTAAGATAATGCTTTTGGGAAACAGGTTCAATGAATAAATAAAAACAATCGTAATTAGCCTATCATCCCATGTATTTATATGCAAATGATGCCTTTAAATTACTTGAGATTGCCTGAAAGTAATTTCTTCTTTGAATTAGTCATAAACCTTAAGCATACCGTTCACAATGGTTTTGCTCTATTAATTTGCCTAACAAACCATTTCTTTATCATTAGCACAAAGGTAAACATCAACATAATTAAGAAAATTTCCAAATTATTGTAATCTATGTAAATGAAATTCATCTTACTGGGCAGAAGCAGATGTAAACCTAAATATCAGAAACAGTCACTGGCTGTCACATGAGTGTTTCTAATGTATGTCTGATCATCCAAGAACTAGCATAAGTGCCAGTACTAGTTACAGAATAATATTGCTTTTAAGGCTGCCTATGACACAAAGTCAAAGCACAGAGTCCACTTCTAAAGACTTTGTATCTCTTTTTTTTTATTTTTTATTTTTTATTTTATTATTATTATACTTTAAGTTTAGGGTACATGTGCACAATGTGCAGGTTAGTTACATATTCATACATGTGCCATGCTGGTGTGCTGCACCCATTAACTTGTCATTTAGCATTAGGTATATCTCCTAATGCTATCCCTCCCCCCTCCCCCCACCCCACAACAGTCCCCAGAGAGTGATGTTCCCCTTCCTGTGTCCATGTGTTCTCATTGTTCAATTCCCACCTATGAGTGAGAACAGGCGGTGTTTGGTTTTTTGTCCTTGTGATAGTTTACTGAGAATGATGATTTCCAGTTTCATCCATGTCCCTACAAAGGACATGAATTCATCCTTTTTTATGGCCGCATAGTATTCCATGGTGTATATGTGCCACATTTTCTTAATCCAGTCTATCGTTGTTGGACACTTGGGTTGGTTCCAAGTCTTTGCTATTGTGAATAGTGCCACAATAAACATACGTGTGCATGTGTCTTTATAGCAGCATGATTTATAGTCCTTTGGGTATATACCCAGTAATGGGATGGCTGGGTCAAATGGTATTTCTAGTTCTAGATCCCTGAGGAATCGCCACACTGACTTCCACAATGGTTGAACTAGTTTACAGTCCCACCAACAGTGTAAAAGTGTTCCTATTTCTCCACATCCTCTCCAGCACCTGTTGTTTCCTGACTTTTTAATGATTGCCATTCTAACTGGTGTGAGATGGTATCTCATTGTGGCTTTGATTTGCATTTCTTGATGGCCAGTGATGGTGTCTCATAGTTCCACCCAGCGTGTATGATCAGAGGAGAATCATGTGACACTTTAGCTCAGAAAAATAAGACATAGAGAAAGCAGATTTCTGAGTCTGGTAGTGATGTTAAGGGCACTATTGAGTGAGTGGGAGCTGCCAAGCAGAATCAGCTCCTGTGACAGATGCTCTCAGTTTAAAGAAGCAAATGCAAAACCATAAGAAAAATAACTTTTCAGCACAAAAGCTTAGAGGCCCTTGAGGATAGATGATGCCAGAAAAATGTGAGATTATTGTTTCTGCCAGGGTATATTAATACTATAAACATAGATTATTTACTGAGAAAAAAGATCCTTGAAAACGTACCAAATGCATGATGCTGAATATAAAGTTAAACAGCAAAAACAGAGTGCCAACAAAACATAGATTCCTTGCCCTTCTTTCTTTTCCAGTGTACAGAAACATGACTGATGTCTCATAGGGATCCAGTGGATTCAACTGGGCACCAAACTGCATTCATTCATTTTCTTTCTCATTCTTTCTTCTCTTTTTAGATTCTTCATCTCATTAAACTTATAGATAACCATCTACTAATTGAAGAGCTTAATGCTCAAGTTCATTATTTTGTTCAACAAATGTTTATCAAACAACTTTGAAGTGTCTGACACTCTTCTAGGCACCCAGGATATATCAGTGAACAAAATATACGAATTTCCTGCCCTATTGGAACTTACATTATAGTGGCAGTAGATGGTATAGACAGAAAACAATAAACATAACAAGTGAGTAAATTATACTGTGTGGTAGAAATTGCTATGGAAAGCAAGTAGATCACGTAAGCAGGGGGACCAAATTGTGGTAAGGGGGCTGGGTGTGGTGGCTCATGCCTGTAATCCCAGCACTTTGGGAGACCGAGGCGGGCAGATCACTTGAAGTCAGAAGTTTGAGATCAGCCTGGCCACCATGGCGAAACCCCATGTCTACTAAAAATACAAAAATTAGCCCAGCGTGGTGGTGCGTACCTGTAGTCCTAGCTACTCCGGAGTCTGAGGTATGAGAATCACTGGAACCCAGGAGATGGAGGTTGCAATGAGCCAAGGTCACGCCACTGCACTCCAGCCTGGGCGACAGAGCAAGACTCTGTCTCCAAAACAAACAAACAAACAAACAAACAAACAAACAAAGAATTGTGGTAAGGGATGGTGGGAAGAAAGTGTTGCCATTTTAAATTGGATTGCCAAGGTAGGCTGAAATTGAGCAAAACTCATTTCCACTTCCGGCCTCTTATTCCGTACATGTTGTCAAACCTTGTTGAGTTCAGTTCTACCCACCCAAAATGTTATCTCATCTGTGATTCCTGCCCTGATTCCCTCACACTCCTTAAACTCCCTTACATTCCCATGCATAGCTGACTGTGTTGTTGCTCATCCCGTTTCCCTTCTGAGCTGTGGACAGGTGTCATGCATGTGCATGTGTGGTCTGACAATTTCGCAGTGCAAGGGTTTTTGTCTCTGCTCCTCTGCCTGAGGACTTTTCCCAGTGCAGTGCTTGTAGTGCAGGGAAGCCCTGATGTGCTGAGGATATAACAACCCCCAGAGATAACCCTCAAACAATGAAAGGTGTAAGTGAATAGATAAATAGCTCAGCTTCTCAATCCCCAGGTGGAGCAATTTTAAAATGCATTCCACTTAACTCCTCAGAGGCTTCTAGCAGAATTAAACATCAGTTGCCCCTGGACATTTCTATTTATTAATGCACTGTTTATTGGTATCTTGCCTTTCCCTGTCTCCCTATCTGCACTCTCTTGCTTGTGCTTTCTGCACTCACTTTGTACATAACCTATCCATAGCCCGAATCTAAATTCAGACATCGCAATATTTCATTTCTGAACTCTTTATGGTTTTACTAAATTTTTCTTTATATTTTATTATTCATGGGCATTTGCTTCATCTACTAACTTGTGAATTCCTTAATTTACATCCTGAAAATTCTATATTACTAAACATAGCTTTTGACCTTTAAGCAAAAATATTAAGATATTTACATATTTGGTGAAGGTGACCTGGGTTTAGTTAATCAATTATGTGGGTTCAAATCTTGGCTCTGTCATTTGGTAACTATATTGGCGGACACTATTCTGTGCATCTGATTTCTCGTTAGTAAACTGGAGATAAAAATATCTACCTTGGGGGATTATACTAAGGATAAAATAAGATGACATATGTAAAGTTCTTAGTATGGTGCCTGGACATATATTAACCACTCCATCAATGTAAGCCCTCTCCTGACTCTCCCTGCCTTAGTCTCTCTTGGTAAATTCAATTCTTTAAAATAAAGGAACTGGAACAGGAATAGACTTTCAAGTCTGATGGAAATATTAACATAGTAAAGCAGAGGCATTTCATCTGAGTAAGAAGTATAACCATAAACTGATACATATTTCTGTCTTTCCCCTGTATTCTTTTTAATTCAGTAAAGAATGAAGTTTTGAATTTGGCATCCTGTATGGCAAGCTTCCATTTATCTCTTCAAAGTGTTCAATATATATTGTAGAAAGGCACTGACAATAAAATTACTTTGGCAAACTAGTTATCTAGGACAGATGCATGCAAAAGATGTATTATTTGTAGCATCTGTTTGCCAACCAAAAAATGTTAATTATTAGATACTTATTTTTTCCCTCTTCTATGTTTTAAAATACTAAGTTGAGGATAGGGACATACTTTTCTTAGTGTGGCAACTCGCAAATTATAGTAAACAGTACTACTACTCAACTCACTAATAACTGTACATTGTGAAATGTTTTCAAAATATCAATTTTAATAACTAAATATGCAAAATTCTGTGTCAGATGTTTAAAGCATACTGAGAAGAGTATGAATAGGTAGAAGATTTAGCATTGTGCATAAAACTGTAGGATGTGGTTAAATCAGTGTAATGAGAGAAATGTGAATTTATTGCAATATAGGTTTAAAAGACACAAGGATAAGATGCATTTCAAGAATCAGTAAACTTTCATGAGGAGATAATATCTGAGATGGGTAGGTCTGGAGGGTTTTAGCTTTCAGAAAATGAACAGAAGTTATTTCTGAAATGAGGGGCAACCTGTATAAAGACAGTACAAAAATTAAAGTATATTAAAAATAGATTCTGGTCTTCATCTAAAAAGTAGAGTGTACTGAAACAGGTTTTAGATAAGAAGGAAGAAGAAGCTGTAGGTAAGGAATACTGAAAGCCAGAAAGAGAGAGAGAGAGAGAGTAAGAAAGAGGCAGACAGATGTATTAGCTTGCATCAAATGGAATGCTTTCAGCAGCAAGTCATGAAAACTCCACTTTAATTCATTTAAACAATAAAGAAAATGTATTATCTCACACTAGCAGAAGAGTATCCTGCTTTTAGGGGCAAGTTACCCACAGTTTTGCTTAATTCAGTATTTCAATAATATAATTAAAGAACCAAGTTATTTTCATTTTTCTCTCAGATAGGCTAGGATGTCAGCTTTGTCTTCCACTAGCTCACCTCATGATCACAAACTGGCTACTGAAGCTTCAGGCATTACATGCAGACAAGACATAAACTAGAATAAGGATAAGAAATGTATCCATAATCCTTTTTCATGAATCTCTTTTCCTGAAACAAACTACCTCTCACTTCTTTTGAGAGGCTAGAATTAGATTATATCCTCCTTGCTAAATCAATTGTTGACAAAAGGAATGCAATGCAATGCAATTTCCACGTTGGCTAAGAAAATTCAATTTATATCACTAAATCATTTTTAGGAGGAGTAAATGCTTAAAAAAACTGTTTTTTTTTGTTTGTTTTGTGTGTGTGTGTGTGTGTGTGTGTGTGTGTGTGTGTGTTTCAGAAAGAAGGGAGGAATGATTATTGAGTAAGCAATCAACAGTCCTTGTGGAAGTTAAAATGACCATGCATTTTGGTTTGCTTGGACAATTCCAGTTCATATGTGTTGTCCCAATGTAATTAATAATAGTGTCCTTTTTACTCTGAAAAATGTACTTATTTGGATAATAAATTATATGCTCACTGGAGCTAAACTGGTGATGGATAGACAATTAAGGATTTGAGTATGAGAGTTATGATTAAGAGTGATTAATTAGTTAATAACATGATCAAAACATCCAGAAGTGAAGACCAGGAGAAGAATTAGAAGATGATTAAGACAGATTCAAGCAGAAAAGTCTAAACTAGTGTGTGGCAGTGGGAATGGAAACAAAGAGACAAAGTGTCCTTACAGAAGTAATAATTAAAAATTTGGCATCTGTTGATGTAAATACAGCAATAAGGGAGAAGCATAAAAGGTAAAAAGAGGCTTAAATATCTAAATTTGCATGACTGAGAGGATCGCACTGCATTAATGGAAATAGTAAAGTCAGGAACACATAGTTTGATGGGTAGAATAACAAGCTTAGTTTTGACATGTTGAGTTTAGTTCTGTTAAGAAAATTGTGTGGAAGTATCAAGTAAATATATTGAGAATTTTCAGTAGCCTCTGTGATAATTTAATTAGCTATATAGTTTTTTGATAGGCTGTCATAGGGTTTATAACCCAGTAAAAGTATGCAAGTAAACAAAAATTCAATTTACCATTTACTTAATAAATAATTACTAAGTACCAGACTGTTCCAAGAGCTGAGGAATCAGCAGTAAACAAAGAGACCAAGTCTCCACTCTCTTGGAGCTTATATGCTAGAATAGGGAATCGCAATAAACAATGCATGTATATCATGGCATATTTTTATAAAAGCTGTGAAAGAGAAATAAAGATTTTGGGGTGAGCAGAAAAGTCTTTTGTGATAAGGTGATATTTGAACAAAGAACTGAGTAGGAAATAAGCCTACTGATATCCAGGCAAAGAATGTTCTAGTCTGAGAAACAGGAAATATAAATGCCCTTATGGGAAGTTTCCTGGAACCTGCAGGAACAGCAACAAGGGAGAGTAGTATGTCTGGAGCCCAAGGAATGGGGAAGAAGGTAAAAGGTAACAACGTCAGACAGGTAACCAGAGGCCAGGTTGGATATAGCCTTATGGGTCCTGGTAATCACTCTGGATTTTGAATTGAGTAAGGCAGAAAGCTATGAGGATTTTTAATGCTGATGAGTGGGGAAAAGGCTGTTAACAGGTAAGGATAATGAGTAGAGTAGGGATACTAGTTAGAAGCCAATTACAAAAATTTTGTAAAGAAATGATTATGCTTTGGAGTAGGGAAGCAGCAGTGGGGATGGTAATAAGTGCTCATATTCAGAATTTATTTTAAAGGAGTATGCAGATAGGAGAAAGGTTAAAATAAAGTGGTATTGTGGATGGCAAGAAAGAAGAGTATTTCATGAAGCAATGGTGAACTGTTGAGGGTCCAGTGAGAGCAGAAAACATGGGGTCATTGGAGACTTTAACAAGAACAGTTATGTAGAGATGGTGAGGGTGGAAGAGAAACTGCAACGAATTTGAAGGGTGAACAGCTAGGAGGAGTGTAGAGAGCATGATGTGGCAACTCTTGTGACAAGTTTGGCCCAGAAAGGGAACAGAGAAATGGGAACAGAGTAAGCGGAGGTCAGGAAACATTGCTCCCAGATGGACTGTGGTAAACAGCAGTTGCATGCTAGTGGGAATACTTTAGTATAGATGGAGAGATTGGTGATGCACAAGAGACGTAGAATAATCAGGCAGCAAAGCCCTTCAAAAGGTGAATGGCAAAAGGACATGGACTTGTAAAGGAATCACCTTTGCTGAATGTTGGGAGGCAGATGCCTCCTCCATTGCATTTAAAGGGCAGAAAAAGATGAGTGCAGAGTCAGGTAGGTTTGTTGATTTGGTGATGGGAAGAAGAGGAACTCCGATACAATGGCTTCTGCTTTATCTGTGAACTGTGAGGCAAGATCATCCCAATACAGTGGTGGTGGTGGGGGGAGGTATACAAAGAGCAATATAAAGCAGCTGATTGGGAGACCGAGGTGGGCGGATCATGAGGTCAGGAGATCGAGACCATCCTGGCTAACACGTTGAAACCCCGTCTCTACTAAAAAAAGCAAAAAACAAAAAAATTAGCCGGGCGTGGTGGTGGGTGCCTGTAGTCCCAGCTACTTGGGAGGCTGAGGCAGGAGAACTGCATGAACCCGGGAGGTGGAGCTTGCAGTGAGCCAAGATCGCACCACGGCACTCCAGCCTGGGCGACAGAGCAAGCAAGACTCCGTCTCAAAAAAAAAAAAAGGCAGCTGAGTAGAAAATAGAAGAATATGCTACTTGGAGAAATATATTGGGATTACAGGGTGCTAGTGAATATCTACTACAGGCCGGTGATCATGACGTTTATGAATTTAAAGTGCCACTAATTACATCAATTTCTCCAGCTGTGTGATTTTGTCAGTAATTTTTATTATGTTGTGATTAGAAATTAAAATGAGGTTGTAAATGTATATATCGAAAAAGTAAAATTTATAATGTTTAAATGAATGGAAGTTACCAATTTCCCTTCAACAGGCACTTATTGAGCACCTGCTATGTGTCAGGCACTACAAATCTACAGATAGAAGTTATGGTCCCTGCTGTGAAACCCACATTATAACAGTGCCACAAGGAATTTCAGAATAACTACAATCCACTCAGGATAGAAGAGCATGCTAGTCTAGGCCATGTAAACATAGTTTTATCTTGCATATGTGAGGTCTTCCAGCTCGAAGAATTCAGAACAACTTTATGATAAAAAACCAAAAATTATCAATATCTGATACTCCATCAATCATAGGATTATAACACATCAGGCATTTCTGATGTTCTATTCCCTTTCCTACAGATAAATATCGAAATATTCATCTACAATAATTGTCAAAGCAGCCTGAAATTCTGTATCCTACAGAATATCAGACTCTCCAAAAGTAAATTATATGTGTTTTTGCAAATTCAAATACTGATTCTGTTTACATGCGTACATTCTGCCTCTCAATAATATGTGCTAAGCATTTAACCCTCATTATCTCATTCAAACATCAGACACACATGAAAAGTAGATGTCATTACTACCACTTCTTTTTAGATGAAGAAGTTGAGTCTAAGAGAAGCAGGTAAATTGCTGGGGATCACAGTTTGCAGCTGATTAAACTAAAGTAGGCTTTAAATCTAATCTCCCTCAGTATGTACTTTTAAGAGACACCTCTCTAATTTTATTTTGAAAAATATTTGTGTAAATTGTTTTAAATGTTCAAAATATTACAATTTTACTGTGATACTATCACCATCATCCCACATCAACCCAGACAGAGCATTCTTGTACATCTGACAATCTTGAGTTTTTGGACATTTCCGATAAGAAAAATATTTTTTTCCATGTTATCTCTGAATAAATTTCTATTTTGCTCTTAATCCTCATCCAAATGAGCTTATGATGTGTTTCTCCTTAGAATTGCTGAGGGCAGACATTGTTTTAATCCTCCATTTATTCCTACCTTTTGGGTTCAGGTTCTAGCACAGAGTTAGAGCTCAAAAATGCCTGTTTATCTGAACTAAAGATTGCACATGATACCCTGTGTGGTTTCTCAGAAGACACTGCCAGAGGAGTTTGACCAGCTTTGGCTCTAGGCTTAGATCATGATGCTCTCTGGAAGTGCTGACCAAACGCCTCAGCAATGCCCGGTGATTTGTGAACAGCATTGCCTCCAGGATGTTTGAAAGACCATGTATGTGAGATAAATAGTGATCTCGGTGAGTATGGGGTTTTCTTTGACTAATATTCAAGGTCAGGTCTTTCTGAGTGGCAGAGACCAAGAAAAGTGAGGCAGTGACTCTTTCATGCTTTTATAGCATGGTTGTCCGGCAACTGCTAACTATATAGCTCTCATCCCATGGTAGTGAAAGAAAGGTAAGGAGTAGGAGTGAGGGGCAGGGGTTGGTGGGCGGGCTGGGAGGGTAGGGGGTGGGAGGAGGAGAGAGAGACAGAGAAACAGGTTCAATTCCTCAATCTACTACTTAGTAGCTCTATAACCTTTAGTAAGTAACTTCTATGAATTTCACTTTTCTTACTATGCATTTTTCTTCCAAAGTTGATAGGATTTATATTTCTTGTGATAAAAAGCTGGAAGTCTGCATAATGCAGAAAATGTTGAAAAAGTGGTAGCTGTTGATAGTGAGACATTTTTAGATTATGACTTCTTTGAAGCCAGGAATTATATCTTGTCAACCTTTATATTCTTGATGACAAGTCTAGCCCAACTTAGAGTAGTGAGTTAAGAAAGAATTAATAATAGTGATAGCATTGTTCTATTTTTTTGTCTTTTGTCTCCCAAAGACCAGTGACCTTTAGGAATCTGAGGTTATGCATCAGCAGACTTTTCTAATCACTTATTAAAATCATAGAGAAAACTCCACAAGAAGTCTGGTTAAACAATTACGAGGTACACATTTATATTTTTAGTTATTAATCACAAACATTAAGTTAAATTGATTCTTTTTTCACTCAACCACTTGTCTAAGTGACA
The DNA here is from genome assembly GCF_000001405.40 of Homo sapiens. Classification (NCBI taxonomy): domain Eukaryota; kingdom Metazoa; phylum Chordata; class Mammalia; order Primates; family Hominidae; genus Homo; species Homo sapiens. Next base: position 104,031,908 of record NC_000009.12, on the reverse strand, counting down.
ATAAACATAATCATTCTCATTATAAACTAATTTGAAAAGGTAATTTTCCAATTAATAAATATACACCAATGTAAAATGTGTCCTTATGATAAAATAATTAAAATAGCTCTTGACAACTTTGGAAAGAAAACAAAGAATTTTGTTAATGGCTAGACCTAATAAAAAATCTGATGTGCTAAACTAGAGAAACTGACAAGCACAATTCCCCCCACAAGAATAATTTGTTACCAATGATGAAACTGAGAAATTAACCAGAATGAAAGTTGTGAGATTTATAGTGAAAGCCCTCCGGGTAAAATTAATTTCTTTATAACACCGTTTAAAGGCAAACAAAAGGAAATTGCTTGTGCCAGATGGGGTACGGAAGGCATTGTGAATGAAAATGAGCATCTCTTTTCTGCTTACAAATATTTGAATTAAGATGATACCAGCGTGTCTAGTTAATGGAAAACAGTATTGATGGTTGTACAACTTTTAAAGATTTCCTCATTCCTTTTAAATGGACTTTGTCAACACAACAAAGTACTTTAAGCAATATATTAAGCCTGCCACTTACTATCACAGCACATGTATTCTCCTTGAATTATTGTTTCAGGCAAAACAGGAAGAATACAATGGCTAGAATGCTGGGCTTAGAGTCAGAGAACCACTATGTAGCTTTTCTTCAGGTCCTATTGCTGAGCAGAAGGAGTCTAAGAAAGTCAACCAGTCTCTAAAGGACAATTTCTTCATTAGTAAAATTACAACAGAAACACCTGCCCTTCTATCAGCTGAGTCTCATGAAAATTAAATTATATAATGAAGGTGAACATTTCTTGTAAACCATAAAGTATATGCATACAACCTTTCATTTTGTGGTTTATCTTTCTGGAATTAGTCTAGAAATTGTCTCCAATTTTGCCTCGTATTTTATCTGAACTGTTGGTTCACAGCTGCTGGCTTTCTTTTTCTTGTAACCTCACGTATTTTCATGAATAACATTTCAAATCTAATCATTGATGTTGCAGCTGATGGTGATCTCTCTCTGCTCTAAGCACCTATAATAGTTATTTAGCACTTATGCTATGCCACCATTTATCTTCGTTGCCTATATCCTCTCTACTTGGCTGTAACATCAACTCTTGAATATTAACACTTGTACTAAAAAGACTACTACTAATAGCTAACATTTATGGTTTACTGTATGCCAGGCACTGTACTAAGCATTTTAAATGGACTATTAAATTTAATAAGAAGCAGGAAACACATTGTGTTTTACAGTGGGATCACATAATACATTTATTATATAATATGTATTAACATTTCACACTCGGCCAGGCATGGTGGCTCACGCCTGTAATCCCAGCACTTTGGGAGGCTGAGGTGGGTGGATCACCTGAGGTCAGGAGTTTGAGACCAGCATGGCCAACATGGTAAAACCCTGTCACTACTAAAAATACAAAAATTAGCTGGGCATGTGGCACACACCTGTAGTCCCAGCTACTCAGGAGACTGAGGCAGGAAAATCACTTGAACCCGGGAGGCAGAGGTTGCAGTGAGCCGGTGAGCTGAGATCACACCACTGCACTCCAGCCTGGGCGATAGAGTGAGACTCTGTTGCAAAAAATAAATTAATTAATTAATTAAAAAATAAAAAATAATAATTTCACACTCAGTAGCTCAGACTGTCCACATATCAAAAAACCAAGATACTAAAAAGATATAGAAATATAGATTTATGTAGGGTAAACATTTATCCTACCATTTTATTTAATGAATTTATGCCCTAGAGTAAGAGTGAGATGGGAGAGGTAAATCTACTCTTTCTCCAGGTGAAGTCACTTCCCATATACCACTTGTTGTGTGTGCATCTTGCTATGGAATGTATAATGTTTAAAGACAGACATTTTTGGTACAACATGGACTGTGAATGCAGGCTATATCTGTTACTAAACTAAAGAAACAGTTTCAATGCTAGAAGAAAGCCTAGTTGTATTAAATGCAAGAGATGGTATGTCAGTCTCCAATGTGTTAACTTTCAAGAAATTTTCAAGACTAATTTGACTCTGTAGTTTGCTCTATATATGTTGAGTTGCCAATGAAGGAAAAAGTAATGACATAAACTTAAATTGAGAAGGGCAAGGAGGCTTTAAATGTTTGAGTAGAGAGGGGAATGTGTGAAATGGTTAGTAGTATGGTAGAGTTGGGGGTAAATGAATTAGGGAAGTGTAGATTTATCTGGCAATTGTAAAAATATGCTATGAATTTGCTACTTTGAATTTAAAGTGAAAATGAAACAAAAATGAAAGGTTATATGCATACACTTTATGGTTTACAAGAAATGTTCACCTTCATTATATAATTTAATTTTCATGAGACTCAGCTGATAAAATTAGCAAGATTGTTTTTTTTTCCTCCCAGTAGGTTTAGCTGCTTAAGTGAAAGATGAAGTAGGGAGAGGCTTGTGATTAATAGGTTTTACCATATAAGTTCTTTCAGAGTGGAGGAGTGTAAAAAGAAATGAGCATATTTGCATAGGAGTTATTTTAATGCTGGGCCATAGAATGAAATTTAAGCTGAGTAAAAAGAAAGGGAGACATGGATTGAGGGAGTAGACACTGAAGAAATGGTAGGGTCAGTGTGTTGAATATAATCTGTGAGTGGGAGTATAAGAAGGAAATTGCTAAAAAGTCAAGAAGTATTTTTCCTAGAATGGGATGCTAGACATAAAAAATATTGGAGCTGATGCTGTAATTGGTAATGACAAGCTTTAAGGTGTGACTATGGGAATGGGTTGTTGAGGACGGGCAGATAAGCAATGTTTATTTCTCATGACTATGAAGACCCTTATTAGTCATAGTTACTATTATGACTATGACTTTATTGTCCTAGCCCTTTGATATGGTTTGGATCTGTGTCCCTGCCTGAATGACATGTTGAGTTGTAATCCTCAGTGTTAGAGGTGGGGCCTGGTGGGAGGTAACGAGATCACGGGGGTGGATTCCCCTCTGGTGCTGTTCTTGGGATAGTGAGTGAATTCTCTTGAGATCTGGTCATTTAAAAGTGTGTGGCACCTTCCCCGCTTCCTCCTGCCCCAGCCATGTGAAGCTCCTCATTCACCTTTTGCTTTCTGCCATGGTTGGAAGTTTCCTGATGCACCCCCCACCACAAGCAGAAACTGCAATGCTTCCCATACATCCTGCAGAACTATGAACCAATTAAAAGTCTTTTCTTTATAAATTATCCAGTCTCAGACATTTCTTTATAGCAGTGCGAGAATGGACTAATACATCCTTCCATCCAGAGAAAAACTTTGATGAGTCATAAAACAACTTTTTCACTGTCTATTGGGAATCTGGATAAAAGATTTCAAATTAATCACTGGACTGCAAACTAACATTTATTTTCTAGGCCTACCCTGTCCACCACTGTGTCCAGTATCTCTTTGCTCAGTGGCATAGAAAACAAATTATAACCAAAATCTGCAGGCCTGATTTTCTTTACTATCCTTGGCCAACACTAACAGCTGATATTCTGTCAGTATGTACAGGTATGACCATATCAACTATTAAAGTAATGAAGGAATTCCATGCAATTTGACAAATTGTCATTTGCTATCTTAAGGCTTCCTCGTTCCCATGGCACAGATAACCAAGCCCTTCTCTTGGGGCTACTCTGGTTCTCCCCAAGCTATAAGCAAAGGTTGAAATCTAGCCCAGAGAGAGCTTCCAAGATTTAATACTTGTGTGTCATCCATTCTGATTGACAGGATCAACTCTACCAACATCAAAAATAGAAGATTCTCGTTCTATCTACCCTCTCACTGCTCATACCTCCCCTCCCCACCACTGTGCTGTGCTTCTTTTCTACAGACCCATTTCTCCTATTCTTGCTTAACTTACTGACAAATCCTTTCTGTTGTGCCTTCAGTTTAACTGATGACATTGAGAGCATCAGGCAGGTATTTCCTCTGTTATCACCTACAAATTTATGATATTTATTATATTAGGAGTCATATTTAACAACTTTGCTTCAATTTTATAGTCTTTTATTTGAAATACGTATCTCTACCTGAAATTTGGATCCCATCTCTTCCAAATTCTTTAGGAATCTTGTGAAATCAATAATTTTCTGTCTACCAGTTTGTATCACCCCAAAAAATACATTCTATGTTCTTCCACATTAAAATAAAAGACCCTTCCTTTGCCACACAGTCCTCACTAGCCTAGATCTCACTGTGTCTCTATAGCCAAGCTTTTTGAAAAGGAATCTCTTCTCACTGAAGAACTGGTTTCCTCACCTGCCAGTTCCACTTCAACTTATTGAAATCTGCCTTCTGCCTCTGGCACCAAACTGAAACTGCCCTCACGATGGTTACCAGTAATATCCTAGCTGCCAAAATCAACATTTTTCTTTCAGTCCTTACATTATTTGAACGTTCAGCAGCAGCACCCGATGCTGTTGATTACTTCCTCTTTCACACGACTCTGTTCTCCCTTGGTTTTGGGGTCATTACCCTCACCAGCTTATTGTCATGTATCTGGGCCAATTCTTCGCAGTCTCCTCTAGTTCTGTTCAAGCCCTGTTAGTTTTCTCCATGATTCCCTCCTCATCTTTCTATTCTCATACTATGTATTGATCCTATGTGACTTAATCTAAATTTTTGTCACAAAATACCTCTGATGTGCTGTTGACTTTCAGTGATGTAGCTTTTCTCTTTTTGTCCCATTTGATATCAATCCTTTTTTTGTGTCTTCTATTTATATGTTCTCTATTTTATTTTTAAATTTCAACTGTCTCATGAATATCTACGATTGCATCTTTCACTAACACCTTAATTTATATGTACTTGAGCTGAATGATTTATTCTCTCCCCCAAATTTGTATAATCTACAGTTCTTTTTCTCTTCCTTAGTAAATGGCACCATCTTCTTCCTAACCTCTGAAATAAGAATTCTAGGACTTACATTATATTTCTGTGTCTTATTCATTTTTCTTCACCTCACAGTATTCACTAAATCAACAAGAACTGTAGCTTCTATGTTCTGATATCTTGTATCTGTATTGTTTACAACACTCATAGCTCATCTCCTTGCCTTCTGTAAGCCATTTGCACCCTGCCCTATCCCATTCTAGGGTATTATTTCATCAAATGAAGAGTATGACTTAATTAACTCATTCATAAAATATTACTTCATACAATAAACTAGACATCTACAGATGTCTACTAGACAATCTGCATTATTTCCATATGACTTGCCAACAGGAAAATTATGCCATAGTTTCCAATAGATTTCAGGATGAAGAGGACACAAGGGCCTTTGCGATCTTGCTTTTGCTTGCTTATTCATTATTGTCATCACATTCCCCCTCCTAACTGCATTACCACACACTAATTAGTTGCCCCAATCATGCCTGCGGTTTCCACAGTAAGTGTGTGACTTATCCTGCTTTTGCATATCTTTTTCCATGAAACTATATCTAACCACTTCGGTTTTCAATGAATGCCTAATAGATGAATTCCCTGCACAATGCTTTTGGAACTTAATCATCTGTTGTCATCTTTCATTTCAAAAAATGACATAGAATTCTATGGCCACTTAAAATTGATTATAAAGATCCTGAGTACATGAATTTCATTTTATTCTCTATACCACCTAATGTCATTTTAGGAGGTACTGAAATGTATTTGTTAGAAATGCATAAATAATTGAGTAAATGAATAAATGAAAACACTGTCTTTGAAACACACCACGTTTATGATTTGTTAGTGATTATCTTGCCCCATCTGGTGACTGAATTTAAAAATCTGAATTCTAGTTCAGTAGGAAGGCATTTTAAAAGTCTTGTGAGATTCCGTGACTTTTTGCCACAAACAGCCCTGAAATAAGGTCCTTTCAAACCTTTTGAAGAGCTAGAGATTTGGAGGTTCAGACTCACATCAATGGTTTGGTACTTTTAGGGTATTATTTTATCAATTGGAGAACATGACTTAATTAATAAAATATTACTTAATACCTACATAAACTAGACGTACAAGAGTGAGCAAAAGAAGACTCAGTCCCTGCTCCAATGAAGTGTACAATCTTGTGGAAAAGACAAGTTTAATATTTAAGTCATATAAATAATGTAAATTATAAATATTTTAAGCACTGCAATGGAAAGACATATGGTGTTATAAATACTCATGAAAGAGACATTTAACCTAGTCATGATGGTCTTAAAGGAAATGGTATTTGACCAGGGACCCACTTAGCCTTTTTGAATCTCTGGTTTTTCATCTCTGGAGTGTAAAGAAAACCTTCTTTTAATCCTTAGAGACTGCTGTGGAGTTTGGATAAAATAATACAGTCATGTGCTGCATAAGAATGTTTTGGTCAATGACAGACTACCTATAGGATGGTGGTTCCATACGATTATAATACTATATTTTTATTGTAACTTTTCTATGTTTAGATACACAAATACCATTGTGGCAAAGTTGCCTACAGTATTCAATACAGTAACATGCTGTATAAATTAAAAGCCTGGGAGCAATAGGCTACGCCTTATAGCATAGGTTGGTATTAGGCTGTAGCATTCAGGTTTGCATGAGTACACTCTATGATGTTCATACAATGACAAAGTTGCCTAATGACTCATTTCCCAGAATGTATCCCCATTATTAAGTAACATATGACTGTATACATGAAAGGGTTTTGAAACTATATTATTTCCACTGGATTTCTGCCTCCTCTATATGTCATATTTCCTTCTCTTTCAAATGAGAGTAGGGCTTTGTTGTAAGTACAAGTCACAAAGCGACAAAGTTTTGATCATTGAATGAAATACTTTTCTTTTTTTATTTTTAATGTCTTTTAAATACAGATGGAGTCTCACTCTGTTGACCAGGCTGGTGTCAAACTCCTAGCCTTAAACCATCCTCCCTGAGATCTCAGCCTCCCAAAGTGCTGGGATTACAGGTGTGAGCCACCGCACCCAGCCCATTGAATGAAATACTTTTATTTTTAAAGAAAAATAATTATACTGCCTGTGCCCTTCAGGTCTTTAGTTTTTCACCTCACATTTCAAATTTCCCAGGGATGGATTACACATCATTATTGAACAGATGTTAATCAAGTGAATTAGCAGAAATAGGTAGCGAATCAACGGATTCAATAAACTTTCGCACACACTATCTTACCTTAGACAATGTGGGTTTCTGGAAAAGTAGATGGTTATGTCAAGCCTCCATAGCACTGCTGTATTCCACAACTAGGGCTTCTTGAGTGTCTCACTCTGTTTGTGTCTGTATGTAGTTTTCCCTCATCATCTCTCCAGCATGGTGGCATTGCTAGCTAGACTTCTTACAAGGCAGCTCAGGGCTCTGAAGGTTCATGCCTGGGAAAGAGGGAAAGCCTACTAGACAATATTCCCTGTTATGACCTAGCCTTGGAAGTCATACAACATTCTATTCATTAGAATCTGAAAATGCATTTCAATATTGGTAAACACTACATAAGTTTAATTCTAAGTTACACTATTTTTTTCACTGATACAATTTTTAGAAGTTATTCCCAACATGGAGAAATAGCCTTATTTTCTCAATTCCACATAGGGGCATATAGAATAAAAATGAGGCTTTTCTTTTTTTTTTTAATATGCAGTGTCCTACAAAGGAATAACAACTGAATTACATTAAACAATTTGTCTTTACTGAAAGAATACATGAAATCTGGATGCTTTAGCTATTCACACCAATAAATCACAGCTGTAAATTTGAATTGTGGAAGGAAGACAATACTAAGGATATGAGCAGACATAGTTAATTGGCTGAAATCCTTTTGTAATCTCAAAGTAAATTTTAAAATCTCCAGAAATTATTTTCTGTATCTAAGGAAAACTTCAAACTTCCATGGGAAAATTAAAATTGACTACTAAAATGTTATCTAATGATTAAACATACAAACAGAAAAATTCTGACTGTTTAGAGGAATTGGGAAATATTACTTTGTTATAACTATAACAAATAACTAATTTTTATGTTTCCAGGAAAAAGGAATAAATGATGGGTTTCGGTGACAAGGAGTACAAATTATATATAGAAATGTCCATGTTTCACTTTTTACTTAGCAACAGAAACTCCAAATTTTAACTTGAGATAATGTTAACATTTATTGGCATCCTTTACATCTAGGTTTGGACATGTGATTAAGTGTGCAACTTCAGGGAAATTTGACTATTGGAACAAGGCATGCTTTTCTTTATGCTTTACTCCCTAAGATTGGTTAGAATATGGACTTGATTGATGAGCAAATGTGCAGCCATCTTCGAGAATTCAGCATCATATTACTTTGGGCTGGGCAACATGACAGAATGAGCCAGCTTTGCCAATTGTTGTGGGGCCGTCATGCTGGCAGTGTCCTTGTGGCTTGAAATTTTATATGGAGGATAAATAAAGATTTATTTCGTTTAAGCTACTGTTATTTTGGCTTTTTCTGTTATCTTCAGAAAAACCTACTCCTAACTGATAATGTTTTGTGTGGTTTTTTTTGAGACAGAGTCTCGCACTGTCTCCCAGGCTGGTGTGCAGTGGTGCAATCTCGCTCACTGCAATCTCTGCCTCCTAGGTTCAAGTGATTTTCCTGCCTCAGCCTCCTGAGTAGCTAGGATTACAGGTGCCTGCCACCATGCCCTGCTAATTTTTTTTTTCTGTATTTTTAGTAGAGATAGGGTTTCATTATGTTGGCTAGGCTGGTCTTGAACTCCTGACCTCGTGATCCTCCTGCCTCGGCCTCCCAAAGAGCTGGGATTACAGGCATGAGCCACCACGCCCGACCGTGTTTTGTGTTTTTAAGCACATGGTTCCTTCTTTCTCTCTTCCCTGCTTCCTGGTTGGTCCTCTCCTCTGTATTTACCTTCACCCTCTTATTTTATTTATCTTTCTTTTACTACCACTGTTTCTTTCTCTTTCTTCCCATAAATATCCATAACAGTAATAAAGCATTATTTTGGTTGAATCATCCAATAGCAATGAGAGCTAATAGATTTTATTTTTCTTGTTCTTACTTTATAAAGCCAGAAAATACAATATTTTAGATTTATATTTTTAAAAAACAAATGTAAAATCACCTCATCCTATGAATTTTTTTTTTTTTTTGACTGGTACTCCACTGAAGGATTTTACCCTCCAGTCAGTCAGAATTTCATGATTGACCAAGGTTTCCTCATCCTGGTTAAGGTCATATGAAGACTATATTTATGCCTTCAAAAATGTCAACAAATCAATGTTTTTTTAGGTTTATGATTAAAATTTTCTGCCCTGAGGGTCTGCTCTACAGTAGGGAACTCTTTCATGGGAGTAATGGCTTAGAAGTAGAAAGTCTGTTAAAAACAAACATAAAACTCTCCACAGCTGGGAGTTGCCCTTTCATTTTTAGAAATTCATTCTTATTTCCATAAATGTAATAAAGGCTTAGCCTCTGATCTCTAGTCATATCTCACAGGTTTTCACTAAAAAATAGCTGGCAGAAAATACATTTCTTATAATTTCAGCTACATTAAATTGTCATTTTAAGGTATTCAAAATGCAATAAACAGAATGCAATAAACCAGAGTACTTAACATCCATCCCCACTGAACACTTAGCCATTATCCTAGAACTAGCCTGGATTCCTGTTTTGCATCTTTATTAAAAGACCACTTTAACCACATGGTCAGGTGATGTACTAAACATAATTGTACAGGGACCTCTTTATAGATCAGCATTTTATGATCTCTCTCAATTTTCTAAAAATGGTTCTATTTTTTCCTGAATAATTAATTTCATGTAAATTATTTTTTGAAGATGTGAATGAAACTCTTGATCTCTTGGGAAAAGATTAAAAGCACTTTGTGCTCTATCCTTCTAAGGTTGCTGTAAAATGGTTATGGATTTTAGTTTGTAATGACTCTGGCTATAATTGAGAAATCTGTTTAATTGTATAAAATATTTTATTTTATAAAAAGTCTACAGATTATGCCTCTAATATATATATAAATACACAAAATGTATTGCTAAAACAGATGTAAGTATACACACACATATATGAAAAACCACAACATATGCTGTTCTAAAAGTTAAAGCACAATATACTACACAATACAGAGTACAATACAATTACACTTACAATACAGAGTACACTTACAGTACACTACAAAATACAGAGTACACTTACAATACAGATTACACTACACAATACAGAGTACACTTACAATACAGAGTACACTTACAATACAGAGTACACTTACAACACAGAGTATGCTTATAATACAGAGTACACTACACAATACAGAGTACACTTACAATACAGAGTACACTTACAATACAGAGTACACTACACAATACAGAGAACACTTACAATACAGAGTACACTACACAATACAGAGTACACTACACAATACAGAGTACACTTATAATACCGAGTACACTACACAGAGTACACTTACAATACAGAGTACATTGCACAATAAAGAGTACACCTATAATACAGAGTACACTTACAATACAGATACACTACACAATACAGAGTACACCTACAATACAGAGTACACTTACAATAGAGTACACTACACAATACAGAGTACACTTACAATACAGAGTACACTTACAATACAGAGTACACTACACAATACAGAGTACACTTACAATACAGAGGACACTACACAATACAGAGTACACTTACAATACAGAGGACACTACACAATACAGAGTACACTTATAATACAGAGGACACTACACAATACAGAGTACACTTACAATACAGAGGACACTACACAATACAGAGTACACTTACAACACAGCGGACACTACACAATACAGAGTACACTTACAATACAGAGGACACTACACAATATAGACTACACTACACAGTACAGAGTACACTTACAATACAGAGGACACTATACAATACAGAGTACACTTACAATACAGAGTACACTTACAATACAGACTACACTACACAATACAGAGTACACTTACAATACCAAGTACACTACATGATACAAATTACACTTACGATACAGAGTACAGTGCACAATAAAGAGTACACTTATAATACAGGGTACACTACACAATACAGAGTACACTTTCAATAGAGTACACTTACAATACAGAGTACACTACACTATACAAAGTATGCTACACAATAGAGTACACCTACAATATCAAGTATACTTATAATAACGAGCACACTACACAATAGAGTACACTACACAATACAGAGTACACTACATAACACAAAGTACACTACACAATACAGAGTACACTACACAACACAGAGTACACTACACAATACCGAGTACACTTACAATACAGAGTACACTTACAATACAGAGTTCACTACACAATACAGAGTACACTTACAATACAGAGTATACTACACAATACAGAGTACACTACACAATACAGAGTACACTTACAATACAGAGTACACCTACAATACAGAGTACACTACACAATACAGAGTACACTTACAATACAGAGTACACCTACAATATCAAGTATACTTACAATACCGAGTACACTACACAATACAGGGTATACTACACAATACAGAATACACTACACAATACAGAGTACACTTACAATACAGAGTACACTACACAATACAGAGTACACTACACAACACAGAGTACACTACACAATACAAAGTACACAATACAGAGTACATTACACAATACACTTACAATACAGAGTATATTACACAATACAGAGTACACTTACAATACAGAGTAAGCTCTTTAAAGACTTAACCCTCTTTCCAGGCTATATGATGCCTGGGAGATTGAGGCATGTTAGCTACCTCTGCCCCAATATTTGCTGGAGGAAAAGCTTAGGTGAACACACATAGTAAATATTAAAAATTGTATATACATCTATTTTCTATGGATTTCCATTATATTATTTTGACTACTTTCCCCGACTCCTGACACATGGATTTTGGTGGCCCAAAGACAATGGTGGCAATGATGGGAAAATTTGAATTATGGGTTCTTGGTATTTTCCCTGCTTAAATGAATACAAAATGAAATGCAAAAAAATGTAATATAACAAAAAATAATAACCCCTCCATGATATAAATTTGTTATAAGGTAACAACCTAGGTATCAAACAAATCTTCCATTGAATCAACAAAATTAGTATAACTGATAGCTGAGTGATATGGAATTATCATCCACTCAATCACAGCCCCAGGAACTGATAGAGCACAAATTTCTGTATTTTTTTTTCTTTGGCTTGCTCCTGGGAATGAAGGGATAGAAAGAGAAGACACAGAGAAGTAAGGAAGTCTGTCCTGAATTTTCTTCTTCCTATGACTTAAAAATTATATATATGCCATGACTCTAGACTACATACCTTTCTTTCAGATCCAAGTCTCTGGCTTATTTATTCTACTACTTGACATCTGTTAGATGTCTTACAGGATTGTCAAAATTAATATGCAACAAATAAAACCTATCACCTTTTCTATCCTATTCCCACAGTTGTCTCAATCTATCTATCAAATTAACCCAATCCACCCCTATATTCATACTAAAAATCTAAGAATCATTTTTAGACCTTTTACTTTAACTGATATAAATTCTGTCCTATTGACATGTCAATTCTACCTTCAGAATGCATCCAGAATCTGCTCCACATCATCACCTTTTCAAATGCCACCTTAGACTAAGGCATCATCCTCTCTTTCTTGGACTTACTGTACCAGCCTCCTGTCTCTGCCTTCTCTTGCCCACCTTCACCTTATCAACACACACACTTTATACATGGAAGCCAAAGTATTATTTTAAATATGCAAACTAGATTATACCACTGCCCTATTTAAACCTTCCCTGTGTCCAGGTTTTCAACTTAATATACTTCTTGTAGTCTTGCTCATTATACTTCTACCACCCTCAACTTTTCTGTTATTCAAATACATCAAATTATTCTCTACCTTGAGACCTCTGTTATTATGGTTTTCTCCGTAATGTTCTCCTCATCCCACCTCTTCATCTTACTGGCTTTTTTTATCCTTTGAATCTCAGTTAACATATTGTTTCTACAGAAATTCTTTGGCTAACTATCCTCTTACTTTCTTTCACGGAACACATTACTTTCCTTGAAAGATATATAAAGTTTCAGAGCCAAGATCATGAGAACTAAGTGCATTGATTAGCTAGTTCACTTCTAAGCTTGCTAATTCCAGGATACCATTATATCTTTACCTCTCCTTTTCCTTGCTTGGATACAGATAGGCTGCACCCTCAACTGGCTCATCTTATAATTCCTTTTCCGGAGACAACATAAATGCTAAGATATCTTTGTTAACTTATTATAATTTTATTCTAGAATGTTCTTTCATCGGATATAAAAATCTCTCCTTTTACTTAATATTTCTTCCCTAGTTATCTTTTAAAAACACTTCTAGCAAAGACTGTCAGGTGTTTGCTCTAAGAACACATCTGTTTCTCAGGTTCAAGGAAACTCAAACGCTTAAAAGGGAAACTAAAGTGTCACATATTTGAGATCAAATTGGTTGGATGTGGGCGAAACATGATACAATTTATTCAAATCTATTTGTTTATGCTTCACATCATTCAATGAAGGGTTTGAGGTAGTTTACACAAATAATTAATTTGATAAAATTATAATAAAATAAACAATGGCCCAGATATTTTCTATAGTTGTATTCCAAACTGGGCTCTGAGTTTTCTGGCAGAAAAGATGAAAGCAGAGATTACATATGTTACACACTTCTTGTGATCAGAGAGAAAAAACAAAATTCTGTGATTCCTTAAAATAATTAAAGGCTTTCCTGCACTAATTTCATACTGCTCTTTCTTATAATGACCTTATTGCTGAGAGCAACATAAAACAACAACCAAAAAAAAACTATAACCATAAAACAATAACAACAGCAATAACAGCGATGAAATCAATGTAGTGGCATTGATTCTGTGAAAGGCTAAGGTAATGAATTTAAAATATATGTATTGCTAAAAATTATTCATTTTTTTCAGGTCACATACATTCAATTAATGTGTCTTGTGGTAGTAAACTTTTGACCAACTCTCAGCAATATACAATGTGTGCAATTGAAGTGCTTAATAAATTCTGAGCCAAGTTTTCAAAGTACCCATGCTCCACCTGCATTGTAAGTATTGCACTTTTGAAGGCTGCTATCTAATAATCTGCTACTTCATTGTGCTTAGTCTGATTCAGTACTGATTAAGTTCTCAGCTTTTCTGAGCTCACCACTCTTTTCTGTCAGTGGAAGATGATTGCCTCCAATTCTGTGCCATTTCCCGGGAAATGTATCCCTTTCAAAATGCTGCCTGAACCAATTTCTTAGCATTTGAAGGCAGAGCAAAGGTATGCTATAATGAAAAAGGCATCATCTACAGCACAATTTTTTTTGCTCAAACAAGAACCTGTGGATTTATAGATTTTAGATGGAGAAAACCAATAAATGAAATTTTCTATATAAAATTATATGTGAAGTCCTGAAAAAATTCACTTGATTTTATAATTCATGATCAGAAATTACCTAAATCTCTCTACTTGACTTCTTGCCTTCTATGCTGAAATAAGGAAAGGACAAAAAGAACTACATACATAATTTTTTTTTTTCTAGTTGTAGGATCATTGGGTTTGAAATTGGCAAACTCAGATTTTAGAAGTCAATTTCTCTAAATAGCTATGTGTTCTCAGGCAAATAACTTTTTCACTCTAAGCCTCCATTTCTACAAGAAAATAGCTGAGGAATTGGACTAGATCAGTAGCTCTCAGTTTTATCAAGGACAATATCCCCTTTTATAACAAATATTTCTAGTGCCCAAGAAAGTAAAATACCATATATGTGCATATTTCAATAGGCAAGTATTCAGTGTTGTTTCCACAGAAGAACATATTGAAGTGGTCAGATAATTGTACTTTCTTAAAATGGATGTTTTGATTTATTAGACATGAAGTGATCAGAAATCGTTTTGTAGGAGTACAGGAAAATAGAAGAGAGATAAAAGTATACATTAACATAAGAAAAATAGTGATGAGTCCATTAAGCACAGGTCAGAATTACTTGTATACGGTAGGGAAAAGAGAAATAACCTTAATGGAATTACGTTAATATGCCAAGAAATGGGGAAGTGGATACAACAAGGGACTGCAAAATAATTGGAAATAAAGTGAGCCCTATTTTTAGTTGTAGCATCAAATAATTCTTTTTTATTACATGAGAAACGGTAGTGATAGAAACAATATGCCCTTCTATGGGTCTCTAATACTTATAAGGGTCTTAAAAACCATATTTTCTGACATGCCATGGGGAATAGAGGGTGGATTAAAAGAGTAAACAGTAATAAAGAGAATACAAAGAAGTTGTGTGATCAATCTCTGAAAACACCAGGAAAAGATTGAAAACACACTGGTACACACAAAATAAATAGTTTTTACACCTGTGCTGTAGCAGGATAATAATAGAATATTATGAAATAACTAACGTTAGTAAAATACAGAGAGATCTCTGATTTTCACATCTCTACTAAATAATATTTGGTTCTAAGTTTCTTTTTTTATTGTACTTTAAGTTTTAGGGTACATGTGCACAATGTGCAGGTTTGTTACATATGTATACATGTGCCATGTTGGTGTGCTGCACCCATTAACTTGTCATTTAACATTAGGCATATCTCCTAATGCTATCCCTCCCCTCTCCACCCACCCCACAACAGGCCCCGGTGTGTGATGTTCCCCTTCCTGTGTCCATGTGTTCTCACTGTTCAATTCCCACCTATGAGTGAGAACATGCGGTGTGTGCTTTTTGTCCTTGTGATAGTTTGCTGAGAATGGTGGTTTCCAGTTTCATCCATGTCCCTACAAAGGACATGAACTCATCCCTTTTTATGGCTGCATAGTATTCCATTTTCTTAATCCAGTCTTTCACTGACGGACATTTGGGTTGGTTCCAAGTCTTTGCTATTGTGAATAGTGCTGCAATAAACATACGTGTTCATGTGTCTTTATAGCAGCATGATTTATAATCCTTTGGGTATATACCCAGTAATGGGATGGCTGGGTCAAATGGTATTTCTAGTTCTAGATCACTGAGGAATCGCCACACTGACTTCCACAATGGTTGAACTAGTTTACAGTCCCACCAACAGTGTAAAAGTGTTCCTGTTTCTCCACATCCTCTCCAGCACCTGTTGTTCCCTGACTTTTTAATGATCGCCATTCTAACAGGTGTGAGAGAAGAATCAAATAGATGCAATAAAAAATGATAAAGGGGATATCACCACTGATCCCACAGAAATAAAAACTACCATCAGAGAATACTATAAACACCTCTATGCAAACTAGAAAATCTAGAAGAAATGGATAAATTCCTCAACACATACACCCTCCCAAGACTAAACCAGGAACAAGCTGAATCTCTGAATAGACCAATAACAGGATCTGAAATTGAGGCAATAATTAATAGCTTACCAACCAAAAAAAGTCCAGGACCAGACAGATTTACAGCAAAATTCTACCAGAGGTACGAGGAGGAGCTGGTACCATTCCTTCTGAAACTATTCCAATCAACAGAAAAAGAGGGAATCCTCCCTAACTCATTTTATGAGGCCAGCATCATCCTGATACCAAAGCCTGGCAGAGACACAACAAAAAAAGAGAATTTTAGACCAATATCCCTGATGAACATCGATGCAAAAATCCTCAATAAAATACTGGCAAACCGAATCCAGCAGCACATCAAAAAGCTTATCCACCATGATCAAGTAGGCTTCATCCCTGGGATGCAAGCCTGGTTCAACATATGCAAATCGATAAACGTAATCTAGCATATAAACAGAACCAACGACAAAAACCACATGATTATCTCAATAGATTCAGAAAAGGCCTTTGCAAAATATGTCTTTACACATAAAATGAAACTAGTTTATCAGGTTCAGATAACTATAAACAGATTTTCTACCTACGTAACTATCTATCTAGAGCTACAGTTTTCAAAGTATGGTCCCCTGGATCAGCAGCATCAGCATCATCTGGGAACTAGCTAGACATGCATATTATCTGGCTCTGTCCTGAGCCCACTGACTCTGAAACTGGGGTGAGGACCGGAAATTGGTGCTGAACAATACCTCCAGGTGATTCTGATATAGGTTAAAGTTTGAGAACCACTGATCTTCCAGGAATACTTTCAAGTCCCATAGGATGTGACAGATGTCTTCGTTTGGGGTAGCTGTCCTATACATTACAGGACATCTGGCATCTCTGATTCCCACTCTCTAAATACTAGTCACATTTTTAGTAACTGCAACAACCAAAAAAGAATGCACCCACAGATTCCTAAAGTGCTCTCTAGAAGGTGCTATTCCTCCTACTGAGAAACATTGGATTAGAAAATGGCCAGTCACGTTCATGTAGGCAGCAGGAACCTAAGAGTCAATGGAATTTAGACTTGATAAGTTGAAAACTTAAAACATTTAGTGAGATTCCAACAGGACATTTGTCCAGAGGCTAAACTTGTGTTCAAACACAGACGTTGCTGAGTCTCATTCTTCTGAGGTTATTTGAAAGTGTAACTTAGCAGGCAGAGCGGAAGGGTATAAAGTGAAGCTGAAATAAATTGTAGCTTTAAATGTCTCAGGTTATTGCTTCAGATTTCAAGATTCTTCCTGAAAGCCCTAGAAGATGGCTGCTTTGCACCATTGGTTAGTTAAAATGGAGCAGATCATTAATTTCCATGATAGATTTGTAGGGTGGAGGATGTCAACCCTTATTGCTTTGTCAATGTTCCTCAGTCTCACCTAATACATGAATTTCAGGGAGTTCTTTAGTCAGACCCATGACAGATACAGAAAGACCCAATAAAGATTTCACAAGCATAGTGGAGTTATATTATTAGCAGAAATTTAAACTAGCAACTACCATGAATAGAGTTTAAAACAGCTAAAATTTCTTCATATTGAAAATTAGAACTGACTCCCAGATTAGGTTTGACATATTAGTCAGGGTATAGCTTACAATTATATTTTTGAGGTAAAATATTAATGAAAGTTGGATTGATATTTGCATATTTGTATTCTTGGTCAGTAGCAGGATACACAACATTTTAAATTATAATGATTCATTGGTAATCTGTCTTCTCACATCATTTTTTCTTCCTTTTGGCTAATTTCCTCCCCTCTAGACAATTAACATAGAAAAAAATAATTCACATGAAATGTAGTCTTGTGACTTTTATGCTAATTGAACAACTTGCTGATAAGAACAATCTACTTTTAAGACAAATTGCTGGAGTGGCAGCTCTTTAATTGATCAATTGACCTCTTGACAGGATCCAGGAAGGAAAGATATTCTCCTTCAAATTTGTGTTCAGAGCTTGTGTCATTTTCTGAAGCTTTCATTATATGAATGTTCAGTAAATTTGTGTGTGATTTATGAAATCAATGTTGCTTTTCCTTTTCCTTAGTCTCTTCTTTTTTAGTGTTTATCAGTCTTGACAATTCCCAGTTAAGATGTAAGCTTTTCAGTTAACCAAGGAACTTGTTTTGAGTATGTCATCTAAAGTCAGGGCTCTGTCCCTTTTTTATGTATTCCACAAACATGGACTGAGTACTAATGTGTGATTATCATCTCAATGCTAGTGGTTAGTAACACAAAGATAAGTAAGACATGGCACAATTAGAAATAAGACAATGCCATATGTGCTAATGAAATTTAAGTGCAGAATATAGATGAAGCACGAAGGGGGATGGTTTGATTCATTCTGACTTATAATTTCAGGGAAGCCTGCAGAGAACAGCCAACTTATGTACAGATGAAAAACAAATGTGTTTTTGGCTGCATAAATGTCTTCTTTTGAGAAGTGTCTGTTCATATCCTTTGCCCACTTTTTGATGGGGTTGTTTGTTTTTTTCTTGTAAATTTGTTTGAGTTCATTATAGATTCTGGATATTAGCCCTTTGTCAGATGAGTAGGTTGCGAAAATTTTCTCCCATTTTGTAGGTTGCCTGTTCACTCTGATGGTAGTTTCTTTTGCTGTGCAGAAGCTCTTTAGTTTAATTAGATCCCATTTGTCAATTTTGGCTTTTGTTGCCATTGCTTTTGGTGTTTTAGACATGAAGTCCTTGCCCATGCCTATGTCCTGAATGGTAATGCCTAGGTTTTCTTCTAGGGTTTTTATGGTTTTAGGTCTAACGTTTAAGTCTTTATTCCATCTTGAATTGAGAAGACATTTATGCATCCAAAAAACACATGAAAAAATGCTCATCATCACTGGCCATCAGAGAAATGCAAATCAAAACTGCAGTGAGATACCATCTCACACCAGTTAGAATGGCAATCATTAAAAAGTCAGGAAACAACAGGTGCTGGAGAGGATGTGGTGAAATAGGAACACTTTTACACTGTTGGTGGGACTGTAAACTAGTTCAACCATTGTGGAAGTCAGTGTGGCGACTCCTCAGGGATCTAGAACTAGAAATACCATTTGACCCAGCCATCCCATTACTGGGTATATACCCAAAGGACTATAAATCATGCTGCTATAAAGACACATGCACATGTATGTTTATTGCAGCACTATTCACAATAGCAAAGACTTGGAACCAACCCAAATGTCCAACAATGACAGACTGGATTAAGAAAATGTGGCACATATACACCATGGAATACTATGCAGCCATAAAAATGATGAGTTTATGTCCTTTGTAGGGACATGGATGAAATTGGAAATCATCATTCTCAGTAAACTATCGCAAGAACAAAAAACCAAACACCGCATATTCTCACTCATAGGTGGGAACTGAACAATGAGATCACATGGACACAGGAAGGGGAACATCACACTCTGGGGACTGTTGTGGGGTGGGGGGAGGGGGGACGGATAGCATTGGGAGATATACCTAATGCTAGATGACGAGTTAGTGGGTGCAGCGCACCAGCATGGCACATGTGTATGTATGTAACTAACCTGCACAATGTGCACATGTACCCTAAAACTTAAAGTATAATTAAAAAACAAAAAAACAAAAAAACAAATATACTGGACCCAGATGATCAAGGTATAAATATCTTCAGACTGAACAGTATCTGTTCAGGAGCATATTATATCTTTCACATTCAGTCATATGAATCCTAAAGATTTTACTCACTTTGTAAAATGTTTTTTTAAAATTCTGACTTTGTTAAAATTAATTTTAAGTTCCGGGGTACATGTGGGGATGTGCAGGTTTGTTACATAGGTAAATGTGTGCCATGGTGGTTTGCTGCACCTATCAACCCATCACCTAGGTATTAAGTCCAACATGCATTAGTTATTTTTTCTAATGCTCTCCTTTCCCCTTCTGACTTTTGGTAACTGAAAATAATTCACAATATATTATAATTTAGTGGATTATTCCTCTATATTTAAATGTTTAGGGTATTTCCATTTTGTTTTTCAATTTAAGAAAACTACTGTGTACAGATTTCTTAAAGTTTTGTTTGTATCTCACCTTGGAAAGTGAGGAAAAGAGAACAGGTGTTATTCTGTGCAAGGGAAAGTGCTTATAGAACGTTATGTGTTACCATCACACATGGGAAAAGGGGTAAAATCATACGAATATGTGTTGTTAGAGAATATATAGTGACTCCGAGTTACTTTCTATATATCACACAATTTATAGCTGGGAAAGACTATAACATATACAAATATATGTGTTTTTGTCCAGCTAATTTATTTTTACTCTGTATAAATTTTGTTGTAATAAAATTAGGAAGTCCATAAATTTGTGCATTTTTTTGTTTTGTTTTGTTTTGTTAGGGAAGGGGTCTTGCTTTATTACCCAGGCCAGACTGCAGTGGCACGGTCAAAGCTCACTGCTCTTGCCTCAGTATCCCGATCTAGATGTGAGCCACCACCCTCAGCTAGGAAGCTCATAGACTTTAGATATCAAAAGAAGAGGATTAGGTGTCATGCCTAAAACTAAATTTAAATGTAGTCTGTATTTTAATCTAATATTTCACCTGATGGTAGATAAACTTAATTTGGACAATTCTAGGTAAAATTAGTAAATCTGGGTTTGTTTTTAGAGTCTTTGGTGTTATTTAAGCAAATTGATTTTTCTTCCTCTTTACTTCTTATAATTGCATCTTAATATTGAGGGACTATCAGAGGAAGGGAGAGGTGGATATACATGGCATCAGGATATCAAGAGAAGGTAATAATGAACATATGCTGGCATCCACTGAAAAGCGTCCTGACTGGCCTTTGGCCATTATCATCCCTTCATATAGCATTTGCTGGTGTCCATCTTTACATCTGCCTGCAGCTGGGTTGTCCACTCTGCATCTGGGAAACCACTTTAGAGCCTATGGCTCTCTATCCCCAGTTAACTTCTTCATCTCTCTTAGAGACCTAGGGAAGGTGTGGGCCTTCCCTGGGGTCATGGGAAATTAGTAGTGTTGCTTCAGGCACTTCAGGCATGTGAAGTCTCAGGCAATCATCTCTACTGTGCCTGCAATATGGTGGCATCTGAAACTCCTGTTACGGCTTCTGGGGGTCCCACATGTATTGTCCTTATTGCTATTTTGAAGAGGGATTTAATAGATCTCTTCTATTATTGGGTCTAGCATCTTGTGAGTCTCCTGCCACCTTCCTTCTTAATGCTAAGTTGGAGCAGGTTCAGGACTCTGTCTTAGAGAATTCCCACCCCACCACCGTATTAGTCTGTTTTCACACTGCTATAAAGATACTACTTGAGGCTGGGTAATTTATAAACAAAAGAAGTCTAATTGACTCACAATTCCACATGGCCAGAGAGGCCTCAGGAACCACAATTATGGCAGAAGGCCAAGGGGAAGCAAGGCATATCTTACATGGTGCCAGGAGAGAGAGAGAAACCAGGGGAAATTGCCACTTATAAAACCATCAGATCTCACGAGAACTCACTTGCTATCATGAGAAGAGCGAGGGGAAATCCCCTCATGATCAAATCACCTCCCACCAAGTTCCTCTCTTGACACATGGGGATTACAATTTGCAATGAGATTTGAGTGGGAACACAGCCAAATCCTATCAACCACCTTAAATGCTGACTTGCAGCAGGTTTAAGACTCCATCTTGGAGACTTCCAGCAGTGCCATCTCCTTGTCTTCCACTCACAACCCAGAAAGAATCTCATTGTTAAAAACTTCTTAGGTAAAAAAAAACCAGTAGCTCAACAACCATCCTCTCATATTTTTCTGTGTTTACAATTTGATCCTTAGTTTAGTTTAGTTGTTTTTTAAATTAAACTAGGAATGTCACTCCCTTTGTGGATCTTTTCTCTTGAGGGATCTGGAGGTATTGGTTTCAAAAGCCTAAATGGACAGAGAATTCCTTCCTGCTCTTTCCCTCCAAGTATAGCTACAAACCTGGAAATTATGCAAGGGGTGATTGAAATAGAACTCTGAAAGGCACAGAGAGGAAGGAGAACTTGTCAGGGAACCCAGGATTGGAGGGACAACATAGCCACAGGGCAACTCCCACCCAACAAAATAAGACAACTCAGGTCTGGTGTTTCCAACCCCCAACCTAGCAACAGAGGATGGTCTAGCTGGCTCATTCCTCACCCAGACTGACTGTATGCCGCAGACAACACCAGTAGAACAGGCAGTGCCTTCAAGGGTAAATCCATTGGAAGCTCTGCTGAAAATAATTGTCCAGGGAAAGTTCTCTCCTTCCCTGCTGGGACTAAGACCCTTCTGTCACCCAAAGACACCCAGCAGCCTAGTGGCACTGGCCAGGGGGTTTTTCCACAGTAAGCAGACAGGAAAGCAGACTTATCTTTTAGTTTCTTCATCCCAGGGCCAAGACTCCTTCCCCCACTGAGGGAGATGGGGGAAGCCATAGCGCACTGGCCATAGAGACTCTGCCACAATAGATCCTTACTCCTGTGGCCTTGAGATTCTCTTCCCCAAATCTGGGGCAACACGAGAATCTCCTCCTTACTGGACAGTACCAGAAAGGACCAGTGGAAGCCCCAGAGGTACCAAATTAACTGAGCCAACCACCATCGCACTGCAAAGACACTGAAAATTACATTGCCATTGAAGTCACAGCCCAAAAATGTAGGCCAAGACCTGTGTGCTCAATTTAAATAGGATGACTGCTGATAAAACAAAAGACCTAAAGAGGACCCAGAATCTCCTAACATAATAGAAAAAATATTCAGTGTACAATAGGAAGTCACCTGTTACACCAAAGGCCTAAATGTGGAGTCAGGGAAAGAGGAAGCATATGTGTGAATAAACATTGGTTCACAACTCATAGTATCATTTAACCAAATGAAATTTTTTTCTTGGTATATTTTAGTTAAATCTGGTATACTTAAGTAAGTTAAAAAGTTGAATCTGTCTTAATTAGGTCTACATTTTTCTGAATAAACCATAAGTGGAAAGAAGCCAATGACAGATAGATACCTCCTAAAATCTCACTTCTAATTTGTCCCATTTCCCATACTCCAACTTCTGATGTTACAACCTTGGAACAGAAGGGACGGGGAGAAGTAGGCCATGCTATAATTGATGAGAGTGACAGACCAGGGTGAGGGAATACCCTAAATGCTCTGAGGCCTGAACTCTGGTACATGGGTTTGTCCAGTGGCATCTTGTCTATTCTGATGCACAACACCAACCACATTCATTCCAAGGGAAGATGTCTGAAGGCAGAGGTAAAATTCTGCCCTAGCATCCAGGTTCTGAGTAATCAGACATTTGCTGCCTTCTCTCTTCCCACTTCTCTCCTCCCCACTCTTCTTCTCTCTCCTTTCTCCTCACTAGTGTCTCCTTTGGTTGAACACTATGGCTTATTAGAGACTGCAGAGGCACATGAATTGGAAGGCTCACTGATGATAATTTTCATTAAAGAAAATATTAACAATAACTTTGTTAGGTAAAAAATTAGAAAAATATTTAAGGGCTTTGATGTATATATATGTTTGTGGTTTTAGGTTGCTCTATTTTCTAAATTTAGGTATTTGTATTTTATACTGTTGTATTGCTGTTGTTGATTAGGCAAGCTAGAAGTTATCTTAATTTTTTTCCCAAATGAGGTCTTGATCTATGGTTTCATTTTTATTCAAACATTTTAATGACCACTGTTATCTTTTAAAGAACTATATTCTGCTTTTTTAAACAATTTGATTTGTTTTCCTTTTTTACATTTTTAGTTATATATGTTCATGCTTTCTTTTTTAACACTGAAAACATTTAGAGCTTCAGGAATACTGAATTTTTGCTTTGTACTATTCTAATTTTTATTATTCCTCTGATCCTAATTTTCTTTTTTCCATTAGTTCTCATTATTTATTTTTAAAAATTGGATTTAAAAAACTATTACTATTTTTATTTAATTATGATGACAAAGTGTGGTCTATTTAATTTACATTATTTATTAAAATTTTAGTAGAGACAATATATACCAATTATTCTAAATTTTCTGTGGAAGTTTGGCAATAAGATATAAGGTATCTAATGAAGTATATTCTCTTTTTGAGGGTAGCGTGTTCACTATTCTTCTTCTGAGTCAACTTCATCATATTATTTTTCTCTATGCTCTTAGGTAACTCATAGGCCTTTAACTTCCCGGGTTTTCAGGGACTGTCACTTAAAAAAACAGCCTATGATAGTTTGAATCCCCCTCCACTTGATGAGCAGAGATTTGCCTCTTTTGGGGGGTTCTCATTTTCAGACATTGATGATGGGAAGGAAGGAATGAAGGTATGTCTCCAGGTTTAGATACACTACAGTCCAACCTGCTGTTTGTTGGTCACCTTAGCCAATCCCCTTGTTTCTGACAACTGTTACACTTTCTATAGATCATCATTTCTCACTAGTAGTTGCTATTTTACACAGCCCCTCTTCCAAAGCACAGCTAAAACCAAATTGTAACATATAACAAAACAGACTCGTGGTTGTGTTGATTTTTCTAGGGCTGCTGTAACAAATTACTGCAAACTTGGTGGCTTAAAACCACAGAAATATATTCTCTATAGTTCTGGAGGCGAAAAGTACAAAACCAAGGTGCCAGCAGGGTCACACTCTCTCCAAAGGATCTAGAGGAAGGAGAATTTTTTCTTGCCTCTACCAGCGCCTGGCATTCCTTTGCTTGTAGATGCACTGCTCCAATCTCTGCCTCCAGAGAGTTCCTCTGCCTTTTCCTCTCTGTGTATCCCTTTTTGTCTCGAATAAGAATACTCCAATTAGATATACAGCCCACCTAAATGTAGTATGCTCTTATCCAGATCCACACCTTGATCACACCTGGAAAGACCCTATTTCCAAACAAGGTTGTGTTCTGAGATTCTGGGTAGACATCAAGTTTTGGAAGACACTATTCAACCCACCATAACTGGTATGAGCAGAAGAAAATCATGATAGATAGAAGAAAGGGAAAAAAAACTAAACACAGGCCGGGTGCAGTGGCTCATGCCTGTAATCCCAGCACTTTGGGAGGCCGAGGCAGGTGGATCACGAGGTCAGGAGATCAAGACCATCCTGGCTAACACTGTGAAACCCCATCTCTACTAAAAATACAAAGAAATTAGCCGGGTGTTGGGCATGATGGTGGGCACCTACAGTCCCAGCTACTCAGGAGGCTGAGGCAGGAGAATGACGTGAACCTGGGAGGTGGAGCTTGTAGTGAGCTGAGATCACGCCACTGTACTCCAGCCTGGGTGACAGAGCAAGACTCTGTCTCAAAAAACAAAACAAAACAAAACCAAACCAAAAAACTAAACACAGCAGAGTTCAAATGGATACTGTTATGTATGATGCTAATAAAATATTTTTCTCTCTAAAATATCTACAGGCTCAATTAAGATGTGGATTTGACTTATTAAATATTGTCAACAACAGTAAAATAAACCAAAGAGGAGGAATAGAACACAAATGGAATTACTAGGCATCACATCTATACATATGTTCATAGTAAATATGTATTCCCCTTTAGATAATTTGTATTTAGATATTTATTTTGTTCCCTCTCATGTTTGTATGCCTCTCTAGGGAAAAAACCATGCCTCATTCCTCTTTGCCCATTAAAAATTTTTCTATTCTTCAAGTGCCCAAAAGCTATGTCTTTGAAATTTGTATTAACAAATGTAATACAGTAATAGTGCTAACAAGTGCAATACTAGAACAAGTGCAATACAGCCTCAAATCTACACTAAAATAGAAAAGATGGAAATCTGAATGATTTTAACAGCAAGTAGAGGAATTTTATCTCAAATAAACTTAATCGTAAGTGCTTTTACTATTATTTTAAAATCTCCATTACCAAAAGCAGAGATATAAGAAGCTTTGCAACTGACTGGTAGAAAGACTTCTTTCTTCTCTCCACTCTGTAATCTATAGAGAATCTGCATTTTAAGACTGATTCCCCTTGTGGTTGTCAGAAAATTGCCAGAAGCAGTTGATAATGACCTCTTAGAGCCTCTCTCAGCCTTCCCTTTTAACAGGTAAAGGAAATAGTCCCCAAAGAAATTAACTATTTGGTTCGGAGACACATTAATTCATTAATTTAAAAATATTTATTTAATGCTAATATGTGTAATATATTGTTCTGAGTGCTGGGGATGGAATGGTGAAATTAAATAGACAAAACTTCTTACCCTTGTAGGGATTACATTTTAGTAAATGCAACCAGTGCTGTTGATAAATCAAATTTGTGGTGTGTAAAAATGGTTTAGGATGGCTTTTAATAATCTGGTATAAAATAAGTTCTTTATAAAATGCACAATGATTTTAAGAAAATATTTTAACTGATATCAATATTATTGGGCCTGTTTGAACAAGTTTTAAGTTGCAAAACTTTATATCAACTCACTTAAAATTATAGCTATTACTTTAGCCATAGTTAAATTAATGCCTCAATATTTCACACCAGCTGATACAATAAATTTATGAGCCATTCTAGCCCAGTGGCAACTTTTCTTTAGAGTAATAATGACACAAGCTATTCAAGTAACCATTCTACCCAGGATGATTAATTTGACAGTAAAAATAAGCTCAGTTGCCAGTGTATCATCCCTATCTACCTAAGTCCTCCCCCAAACCAAAACAGAAACAACAAACATGTTTTCAGTTAACAAATATGATAAAGGTGTAATGAGCCTCTTTGTTGATTGTTTCATTTGATTTCATAGCAACATCTAGTCATCTCCACACATGTATAATTATCTGTTGGCACCTCATTTTTCTCTCTGATGAAGAAAGTACTACAAAGAAATATTACTAAACTAAGGCTGAATTAATTTTTTATGTTGCTGAAAAGATAGCGTGATAAAATACAGTAAGAATTGACTTTGGAGTTAGATGGTACTATTTTCAAATTGTGGCTCCAGTATTTTCTATTTGTGTGATTTTTGGGAAAGGTACTGAAGCTTTCAGAACTTCAATTTCTTGATTTAGAAAGTAGAAATTGGTGGGAAGTATGATTAGATGCAATTAATATATAGGAAAATAAAACAGCTGAAAGCTTGGGACATTGGAGGCATTCAATAATTTTTTTTACGGGTTTTAAAAATAATCTTTATTTTTAAAAAGTTAATATGTGCAACATAGGAAACTGAAAAACACAAGAAGCAAAGAACAAAGTCATTCACAATCACAATCAGTTTATAGTTTGACATGTTCTTCTAGGTCCTGTGGGTGTGTAGGCACAACATCCAATTTTATGGGACTGAGATCGTACAGTATGTATCCTGCTTTTTCACACATCATGAATATTTACCAATTCAAAATCCCAAAGCTATATGAGTATTTTGATAACTAAGAATACACTATACCAACTCAATCTGTTAAAAAAAATGTAATCCTGCCTTTCTTGGGACAAAAATTTCATAGAAGACGAAAATGGCAACACGCCTCTAGATAAAAGCATTGGCAGAGTTCCGATTTAAATACTGCATTCCCTTAATGCTCAACTTAAAATGAAACATACAGCAACAGAATACACTAAGTATAATGTTTCTAAGATAATTCATTAGCAGATCTATAGCACTGAAATATTAGCAAGGTATATTTCCATTAAATTACTTAATGTATTCCTATAGTACAGCCAAAAGAGATGCACATACATCAATGGCTATCGTCAACATGTAAATATGGACACATCTGCACACATCTCTCCTATATAATTCCTTCTGCCCCTCTGCTGCCAACCTAACGAACAAGTCCTGACATATACTGCTCAGAGGTGGTTAAACAATTCCATGTCCAAGACGCATCTTTTCTATCAATTATAACAAAGGTATTTACAAATTGGCTAATTCACTAGCTCTAGTTTTTATCATATATTGTCACTCCAGACATCCATAAAGTTTAGATATTGCAAAATAATGAATTTGTCCACAATAAACACAGGGAATTTACTAAAAATGCTCATATAGACCTGTGGTTAACATCTAAAACCATCTTCTAGATATGGAGATACTAGCAAAGAGCCCTTCCCTTCACCCTTCCTCTTCTCCCTTTTCCACCATCCCCAGTGGCTAAGTATAGGACGTCTAGCTCCTAGGGACCTAATAAAGGTCACTCCCAGAAGACGGACCTTCCTAAAAACTAACAAAAGGACATTTATAAAGGGATTGTTTTACTACATCTAGTTTTAACATACTTTGAGCATTAGGAGTTGTTTATCCTTTAATATACAATATTAATTAAAATACACATATAGAACAATGGTCAGACCATCTGAACTAATCTAACTCATGGGCTCAGAACCCTTCTCCCTGCATACTTCCTCCTCCCTAACCCATCGCCACCCAATGAATAGTCAGCATATGCTCCTAAGCATCAAGTTTAAAAATTCCATTCCCAAATGCAACCACTCCTAGGAAGTAATGAAAACAAATACTGAGAGGGGTGTTACTTTAGCCCTTTACTTTTAATCTATGTTGTGCACTTTCAAACACCTAAAAAGACTAGATGTTTCAAATTGGACTAAAGTTTTCCTTTATATACACAATAGCACTGAATAAATGGTGCATATACATAACACAGACTCTAATTTGAGTGTCTTCTAAATAGGAACATTCTGGCCCAGAACCCTTCCCTTTCCGACCTCTACCAACCCCAGAGACAGCTTTAAGCCATCTGTAATGCTTAAGGGGGATTTTAACAATTTCACTTCTGTGTTTTTAAGACGTCTTCCCTATGAATTTTAACACAAAGTGTACTCAATGTATTAGTTTACTAACTCTACTTTTGTCATACACTGGCAACCCTTTAACATCGACTAGATGTAAATTAGGACTCTTTTGTCCACTTATATACACTATATACACAGCACAGTAAATGAAAATGCAGACATAAGGGACAATGGTCAATGGGCATCATCATAAACACACTGGTAGAAAGCCCTTTGCACTTTGTGCTCCTCCTTTCCTATGAACCAGCACAAATATAATAATGTGTACTGCTTAGAGAACTGATCAATTTCCATAAGACAATATTTCATATCAAAAGGATAGCTACAAAATGTGTTATTTACTACCTCTACTTTTAACAGACTTTGTGCACTTCTAAACATCTAGAAAGACTATGTTTCTACCTCTACTATATTTACTGCCTCTGCTTTTAACATATTTTGGGCATCTCTAAACATCTAGAAAGACTTATGTTTCAAATAAGGACTTAAGTTTGTCCACTATGGACACAGTAGTGTTGAATAAACTACACACATGTAACAGTGGTTACATCTGAAAGTGTCTTCTAAATAGGAGCATTCTGGTCTAGAATCCTTCATTCCTTCCAACTCCTCTCCACCACCAACCTGGTGGATATAGGTATATGTGTCACTTAGAGCTGATGTTATCATTTCACTTTCAAAAGTCCTTTTCAGAAGACAGCCTTTCTATGAATTTTAACAAAGTGTACAAAATGTGTTAGTTTACTAACTCTACTTCTGTCACACATTGGCAACCTCTTTAATATCTAGAGACTAGATATTATAAAATCGGGACTCATTTGTCCAGTATATACACAATATATACAGTATAGCAAAGTTAAATGAAATGCATGTAACATATAGGCAATGGATTAAGCTGAAATTTTCTAATAAACAACGGCAAAACACCTTTTGCTATTTCTTCACTCTCATCTCCCAGGTAGCTCAACAATTCCACTTCCAAACAGCATTTCCTATCAGTTTTTAAAAGCTGTTTACAAAAAGTGTTATTCTACTACTGCTTTTAAATACATCAAGCACTTCCAAATATCTAGAAAAACTAGATATTTCATATAACTTGTCCACCACGTACACAGCACTGTTAAATAAAATTGCACACATGGAACAATGGTTATCAACTGAGGTATCTTCTAAATGTGAATATTTTGGCCTTCAATCATTCCCTCCTCACTTCCTTCTCTCTCTGACTTTAATACAGTGGACAAATACGGGCACATGTAATGCTTAGGGATGGTTGAACAAATTCCTATGCAAAAGTCATTCACAGAAGACAAGTTTTCCTATGAATTTCAACACAAAAGCATACAAAATATACTAATTTTACTAAATACTTTGTCATACACTGGCAACCTCTTTAACATCTAGAGACTAGACTAGATGCTGCAAAATTAGGACTCACCTGTCCATTATATACACTATATACAGAGCAAAACAAAATGCACAAAAGATACAGAAAAATGGTGTCTGAAAAAGTCCAACTATGAACATACTAGCGTATTACCTTTTGCAATTTCTTCCCTCCTACCTCTTCTAAACCATTGAACAAGTATAGACAGCACTATACTTCTCACAAAGGTGGCTTCACAATTCAATTTCCAAAAGACAGTATTTCCTATGAATTTCAGCAAAAAGATATTTACAAAATGGTATTTTACTACCTCTACATTTAACATTCATCAGGCACTTCTAAACATCTAGATAGACTAGATGTTTCAAGTAAGGAGTTAATTTGTCCACTTTGTACAAAGCAGTCTTGAATAAACCGCAAACATGTAACAACAGTTATAATTTGAAAGAATCTTCCAAATATGAACGTTCTGGCCTAGAACCCTTCCTATCTCCAACAACCCAGTGGGCAAGAATGCTCAAATTTTCAGAGGACAATCTTTCCTAGGACTTGTAAAACAAAATGTACAAAATATATTAGTTTACTAACTTTACTTTTGTCAGACACTGGCAACCTCCTTAGCATCTAGAAAGACTAGATGTTGTAAATTAGGGCTCATTTGTCCTTTATGTACACTACATACACAGATAAGTAAAACAAAATGCACAGAAATAGATGATTCATCTTGCCCCGCTGTAGGCAGGGTGGCATAGAGCTCTCTGCACTTTCCCCTCTTCCCTCCTCCCCTGAACCAGCGCACAAACACAATGAGTATTACTCAACAGGTGATTTGGCCATTCCCCACCAAAGCAACATTTTCTATGAATTGTAACAAAAAGATACTTACAAAATGTGTTTTTATTACCTTTAATTTTAACATATATCAGGCACTTCAGAACATCTAAAAAAACAGACATTTCAAAAAAGCTTAGCATTGTCAACTATATATAAGGTAGTGAGGAATAAAATGCATACAAAACTATGGATAGAATATGAAAGTGTCTTCTAAATATGACCAGTCTGTCATAGAACCTTCTTCTCTTCCTTCTCAGGTCTTCCAGCTCCATGTCATCTAACCCACTGAACAAACGTGGATGTATCGCTTCCAGGGGCTGTCTAATAACTCCATTTCCAAAAATCATCTCCAGAAGACATTTATTTTGTACGACTTCCTTTAAACAAATGAGAATTTACAAGATGTGACTTTCTAACTCTACTTTATCATACGTCAGGAACCTCTTTCCATCTAGAAGGGCTAGATGTGACAAATGTTTTCTATCAACAGGCTAGGGTGGAGTTGAGGGCAGGTTTTTCATATTGTATACACAGGCCTTCCATAAATGGCCAGTAAATCTTCCCAAAGGGTGGTGGGCATTTCCAACGGGCCAAAAGTGGCCTGTCATTCTACCATTTCTCCCAACAGCAAGATCTGGTAGAAGGAAGACCAGCCGCCCCATGGCCCCTAACCTTCCACCCGTTTTTCGGGACTTCGCTCACCTCCCAGGCCCCTTAAGGCCTTTGTCGGTATGTTAAGGCCTTTGTCTAGGTAGGTCTCGCCCAATGGGGACAGATCAGTCGCCCAGGGTTCCGGATCTACGCAGCTCCGTGGCCTAAAGAGACAGCCGAGCCTGCGTGCGTCCCTAGGCCGCCTTCCGGTTCCGCCACGCCCTAACGGCTTCCATCGCCTGGCGTTTGGGTGGCCGCCATGCTTCCGGGCCCGCCACTCCCGCCGCCACCCAAAGACACTGCGTTCCGGCAGGCTTGGGCTGGGAGACCCGGTGTTGGGTGGGGTCCCGGCAGGGACAAGCCGCTGCCGCCATCAGTCACCGAGGTGGGGTGGGGATGAGAGGTTCGCCGCGGCTTCAAGACCTGGGTCCGGCCAGTGGGCAGCCACATCGGAGGCCTCAGGTGTCTGCAGGACAGAGGGCGCGGCCTGTCCTGGGGACCCCCAGCTCACCCGCCGGCCCGCGGCCGAAGGGCCTGGAGGGCCCTGGGGGAGCGGGCCACACTCTGTGTCTCTCTAATAAATCTTAGTATAGCTAAAATTCTAATTAATGTAATGAATATAAACAACCCACTATTAAGATATTAATTTAGCCAACAATCAATTTTGATAAATCACTACCGTATTGTTGCTTTTTAAAGGCCGTCATCTGAAAATATGAATTCAAAATAGGAGAATATCTTTGTTCACTCATTTGTAAAAAGACAGTGTAGTAGCAAAGTGGAAAAACCAGCAGAATAGAAATTAAGAAACTTAGTCTCAGCAAGGCCATTTTCTATTTGTGTGACATTGGACAAGTCAGGTAGTACTTTAACATGACCCCGTATATGTTCCCTGTTTTCCTGCTTAGGTTTGCCGCATGTCACTTTCCCCTCTTTATCCATTGTTGGAATGGGTTAGCCTCTCTCCCACCTAAAACCTTTCTAAAGTGATGCCTAGCCTTCTTTTACTTTTTGCCGGGGTAACTCCCAATCATCCGTGTGATTTCAGCTTCAAAATCCCTTAATCAGAGAAGGCTTTCCTCACCTTACAATCTAAATTATACCATACTGTTATAATTTACGATTGCACCCTTTTCTTCATAGCGTTTGTTATAGTTAGTAGTATAACATATTTAAATCCTGTTTCCTTTACTGGATTTAAGACCCATGAGCACAGAATCCATGTTGATTTTATCATGGCTATATCTTTCATGCCTTTCTTGTCTAACGCCCAGAAAATTCTCAATAAGATTTTAAAAATAAACTCTCCAGATCTTGATTTCCTCCTCTGTAAATAGTGAATAACAATCACAGTGTTGTTGCAATCAATATGAGTTAATATATATTTTAGTAATAGTAATCCAGTATATTATTTGAATAAACCAGTTTTCATTACTAATAAACTAGTGTATCTCAGTATAAAAGTTGAAGGAAGACATTTTATAAACATACTTTTATATAATTATGAAAACACTTTTAAAATACACTGGACAATGCACAATTCAAAAGCTTTGGATTCAAAGTGGGCCTGCCAAACGATGGATATTTCCTGTGGGACTGTTACCAGTCTTTCAATTGCAGTCCTGATTGAGAATGCTGCAGTTGGAAGAAGTGTTTTGCAATGACAAAGGAATACTGGTTGAACTCTGATGAGTAGACTTATCATGTGTGGCAGGAAGTAAGGTTATCTGTGTCCAGGAAACAGATGGAAACCCATAGACTGCTTATGAAAGAAATGAATTCAGGGGATTAGAAAGTCATACCATTTAGTTTTGAGGGGAAATTATTGACGGAGTTTGCAGTAATTTGGCTTGTCATCCCCAACATCTGTTGCCTTTGCCGTTACACCACTTAGCTCCTGATGACAAATTGAACAAGATCAGAGTGAGTGCATGATAACTAATAAGCATCTTCATGGGTAAAATCAGTTAACATCAAAAACAGGCCAGTGGCATTAGTGTATGCAGTTTCCTGGTAGTAGTCTCTTCATTTTCACTATTCTTAGATAATTCTTTCACTCCTCAAGGATTCCTAATCGTCTCTATGCCGTCTAGAAAAGACTTTAATTATACTATCTTGCTTATAGAAGTGGCCCTAAAAGAAACACATGTGTAATACAATTATAAGAATATCTGATATATGTTTTCTGATGTAGGATTATCAATCACAGTCATATCTATAATGAAACTGGAAGAAAAACTACACAGAAAAGAATTCAAAGTGATTTGGCACTGCCTTCTGCTTGGCCCATCTGCTGTTATTTTTTTTCTCCTACTGGCAGAACGTTAGACAATATTTCAACTTAGCATCTCATAGGCAGTTAAACAACGGACAAGGTAAACTATATTAAAGTTCCATTTTTTTTAACTCTGTATACTGTTTTGTTTTTTTCCCCTCAGTTAAGAGCAAGGTTAAATAGATCATTATGCTTTATTTGATTCAGCATGTTTCATTCCTTAGAAAAAATATTTTACATATCTGGCTTTCCTTTATACTGTGTAGTGGATAAATTGGAGTTCTGTTCCATGGACAAAGAAACTGATGTACAGTATTCCCCCCTTATCACAGGGGACTTTTTCCAAGACCCATAGTGGATGCCTACAATCACAGATAGTACCAAACCTTATATAGGCATACCTCATTTTATAACACTTCACAGATTTTGCAATTTATTTTTAACAATGAAAGATTTGTGACAACCCTGCATCAACCAAGTCTATTAGGGTTATTCTTCCAACAGCATGTGTTTACTTCATGTCTCTGTGTCACATTTTGGTAATTCTCACAGCATTTCAAACTTTTTCATTATTATTATATCTGTTATGGTGATATTTGCTGATTTGTTGATGTTACTATTGTAATTATTTGGGGTACCACAAACTACACGCATATAACATGGCGAACTTAATCCATAAATGTTGTGTGTGTTCTGACTACTCCACCAACCACCTGTTGTCCTGTCTCCCTCCCTCTCCTTGGGCATCTCTGTTTCATGAGATATGACAATAATGAATTTAGGACTATTAATAACCCTACAATGACCTCTAAGTGTTCAAATGGAAGGAAGAGCTGTATCTCTCTCACTTTAAATCAAAAGCTAGAAATGATTAAGCTTATTGAGGATGGCGTGTTGAAAGCTGAGATAGGCCAAAAGCTAAGCCTCTTGAAACAAACAGCCAAGTTGTGAATGCAATAGAAAACTTCTTGAAGGAACTTAAAAGTGCTACTCCAGTTTTAATGGTCTGGATAGAAGATCAAACCAGCCACAACATTCCCTTAAATCAAAGCCTAATCTAGAGAAAGGCCCTAACTCTCTTCAATTCTATGAAGACTGAAAGAAGTGAGAAAGCTGCATAGAAAAGTCTGAAGCTAACAAAGGTTGGTTTATGAGGTTTGAAGAAAGAAGCTGTCTCATAACATAAAAGTGCAAGGTGAAGCAACAAGTGCTAACGCAGAAGCTGCAGCAAGCTATCCAGAAGCTCTAGCTAATATAATTGATAAAGGTGGCTGTGCTAAACAATAGATTTTCAATGTATATGAAACAGCCTTATATTGGAAGACGATGCCATCTAGACTAGAAAGAAGCCAATGCCTGCCTTCAAAGGACAAAGGGCAGGCTGATTTTCTTGTTAGGGCTAATGAAGATGGTGATTTTAAATGGAAGCTAATGTTCATTGACCATTCTGAAAATCAAAGGGCTCAAGAATAATGCTAAATCTACTCTGCCTGTGCTCTATAAATGGAACAACAAAGAATGAATGACAGCACATCTGTTTACAGCATGGATATTTTAAGCCCACTGTTGAGACTTACTGCTCAAAAAAATTCCTTTCCAAATATTACTGTTCATTGGCAATGTATCCGGTCACCCAAGAGCTCTGATGGAGATGTACATGGAGATTAATGTTGTTTTTATGCCTGCTAACAACATCCATTCTGTGGCCTATGGATCAAGGATTAATTCTCACTTTCAAATCTTATATAAGAAATACATTTGGTAAGGCAATACCTGCCACAGGTTACGATTCTTCTGATGGATCTGGGCAAAGTAAGCTGAAAACCTTCTGGAAAGAATTATAGCATTCTAGATGTCATTAAGAACATCTGTGATTCATGGAAAGAGGTCAAAATATCAACACTAACAGGAGTTTGGAAGAAGTTACTTCCAACCCTCATGGATCGCTTTGAGCAGTTCAAGACTTCAGTGGAGGAAGTAACTACAGATATGGTAGAAATAAATAACAAAAGAACTAGAGCTAGAAGTGGAGTCTGAAGATGTGATTGAATTGCTGCAATCTAATAATACAACTTGAATGGATGGGGAATTGTTCCTTATGGATGAGCAAAGAAAGTGGTTCCTTGAGAAGGGATCTACTCTGGGTGAAGATGCTGTGAATATTGTTGCAATGACAACAAAGAATTTAGAATATTTTATAAACTTAGTTGATAAAGCAGCAGCAGACATTGAGAGGATCGTCTCCAATTTTGAAAGAAGTTCTACTGTTGGGTAAAATATTATCAAACTGCATCGTATATGACAGAGAACTCTTTTGTGAAAGGAAAAGTCAATCCATGTGGCAAACTTCATTGGGGTCTTATTTTAAGAAATTGCTACAGCCCCAAAACAAAACAAAACAAAAAAGAAATACGATTTGTAATGACTTCTGGATTCTGCCAAAAAAAAGAAAAAGAAATTGCCACAGCCACCCCAATCTTCTGCAATTTCTGTCCTGATCAGTCAGAAATCATTAATGTTGGGGCAAGACTCTCCACCAACAGAAGATTAGGATTCACTGAAGGCTCAGATGATCATTAGCATTTTCTAGCAATGTAGTATTTTAATATTAAGATATGTGCATTGTATTTAGACATAATGCTATTGCACACTTTAAAAAATTTATTTTTATTTCAGTAATTTTGGGGGTACAGGTGATGTTTGGTTACATGGATAAGTTCTTTAGTGGTGATTTCTGAGATTTTGGTGCACCTATCACCCAAGCAGTGTACACTATGCCCAATGTGTAGTTTTTTATCCCACACCCACCCCACACCCTTTCCCCTGAGTCGCCAAAGTCCATTGTATCATTCTTATGCCTCTGCATCTTCATAGCTTAGCTTCCACTTATAAGTGAGAACATGTGATGTTTGGTTTTCCATTCCTGAATTACCTCTTAGAATAATGGTCTCCAATTCCGTCCAGGTTGCTGTGAATGTCATTATTTCATTTCTTTTTGTGGCTGTTATTCCATGGTGTATGTATATATATACCACATTTCCTTTATCCACTCGTTGTTTGATGGGCATCTGGGCTGGTTTCATATTTTTGCAATTGTGAATTGTGCCACTATGAGCAACCATGTGTAAGTGTCTTTTTCATGTAATGACTTATTTTCCTCTGGGTAGATGCCCAGTAGTGGGATTGCTGGATCAAATGCTAGATCTACTTTTAGTTCTTTAAGGAATCTCCATACTGTTCTCCATAGTGGTTGTACTAGTTTACATTCCCATCTGTGGTGTAAAAGTGTTCCCTTTTCACCACATCCATGCCAACATCTATTATTTTTTTATTATGACCATTCTTGCAGGAGTAAGGTGGTATCACGTTGTGGTTTTGATTTGCATTTCGCTTGATTGACAATAAACATTTATAGTTTATAGTCATATATATATATACTGTTTATAAGTGTAAACATTACTTTTATATAGACTAGGACAAAGTGTATACTTTTATATACACTAGGACACCAAAAAAATTGTGTGACTTGCCTTACTGTAATATTTACTTTATTGGGGTAGTCTGGAACAAAATGCAGAATATCTCCAAGGTATGTCTGTATGGACTATGTTTTTTCTTCTACATACATACCTATGATAAAGCTTAATTTATAAATTATACATCATAAGAGAGTAACAACTAATAATAAAATAGAACTCCATTATAATACTGTAATAAAGGCTATATGAATGTGTACTCTCTTTTTCTCTCAAAATATTGTACTGCATGCACCTATTTTTGGATCTTGGCCCACCACAGGAAACTGAAGCAGAGGAGCAAAACTACAGATCTGAGGAGGGACAACTGTATAGTGTTAAAAAGCTTGCAGTTCATTATAGGTTTAGGATGATAGACTTAGCAGTGAAACTAGGACATGTGCCAGCCACTGAATTAAGCTTTTAAAATAATTAACTCCTATCTGAAACACACCTTCAATAAAATGAATTTACAGTTTCCTACTAAGCACAGACCTGAACACTGAAAATAAAACCTGGATTTTGGTAAAAATTCCCACCTCCATTCCATCATGCATATCATTCATTCATTTATTCAATCTTTTATTTAACCTGAATGATCTCAGGCCTCACCAGCTTTGAATAAATATGAGGTTATATGAACTTTATCACTCAGCTTCCCATGACTCTTATTTCTAATTTGCATGATTGCAGAACCTCAGCTTGCTTAACGCTTCTGGAGTATCCACAAGTATTTCTGGGAATCCCCAAGAGAAGGTTTATGAGTTTGCATAAATTCCTTTATGTTTCTCTGCTCCAATATTTTGCTAAAGTGCTAGGAACACTTTGCTAAAGTGTATTTGATGCCCAAAATACGCTTCGGGGAGAAACTCTGCACCTGCTATGATTACCAGACTTTCTGTAAGAAGGAAACTGCTGGGTGCCTTTATCTCCCCTGTACTTGATGAGAACAGAGATTCTCCATGGGTCACCACTCTCAACCCTCTGAGACTATGGTAGCATAGGATGGTTACTTTGTACTTACCTCTGTAAAATTCTGCCATGAGGACCTCTGAATTAGTACTTCTTTTCCCAAGTCTTACAAGATTCTTATCATGATCTCTTTAGCTTCCCCCTGTTGTTGCTCTTTCTATGTTACTTCTACTTTTTAGACTGGGTCAGGACAGGCAAATCTTATCTTCCATTTCTCTGTCTTTCCAGATATCAGTGCAAAAAAAAAAAAAAAGAAAGAAAAAAATGGTAAACGAAAGTGTTCTTTCTTTCTTTTTTCTATCCGAAGTAAAATTAAAAATGTTTATTAATAAATTGATTCCCCAGGCTGTCACTGATCTACTATTCTGTAAAGAACCAATCTGAGTCTCAGTTTTGCTCAGAACAAAAAACGTTATTGAATAGCTACCATGAGCTAGGCTTATATTCAATGCTGGGTCAGAAATTTAAAAAAAAAGTCTCAGCCCCTGCCTTCAATAAACTCTTGGTTTGAGAAAAGGCATTCGATGATAAAAATAACTAGTAATTAAAAGTATAGATATTATAATAAAAAGAATGAGGAATTGTAAACATACATGGGGATGACTAATTTGGCTGGGTACAGCATTTTGAGAAAATATTTTGGAGGAAGAGGCAGGTAAAATTTGGTTGGTATTTTGGAGGTGTATGAAAAGGCTGACTTGAATCTCAGGAGGCAGAGAAAGAGATTAAGGGCATCCAGCAATACAATGAGTATTGCTTTACAATGAGTAAAGTCAAGGCATTCTCAAGTGCTCACAGACCTCTGAAAATAGAAGTCCTATGTGGCTGGGATGTTACA
The DNA here is from genome assembly GCF_000001405.40 of Homo sapiens. NCBI lineage: Eukaryota > Metazoa > Chordata > Mammalia > Primates > Hominidae > Homo > Homo sapiens. Next base: position 103,992,277 of record NC_000009.12, on the reverse strand, counting down.
TACATGAAAGAGGATTTTAAAAGTAGTTTGGGGGTAGGATTGTTAAGGGATTTTGATTGTCAAACTGAGCTATGTGGACTTTATCCTGTTAGATGATGAGCAGCCATTAGAGGCTTTAAACAAGAATCTGACACATAATTGTGTCAAAGCAAATGAGGAGGCCAGGCCATTGGCCCAAGATTATCTCTGTACTGGGAGCTCTTAAGTAAGCAAGCTGAAACTTAACTTGAAGGCATTACTTGTAATTGACTTAAAAACAAAAGCAAACCAAACAAAAACAACTGAACTTCTGACAGTCATAAACAGCCAACTAGCTGACTGATTCTGTAACTAGGGACCTTCCATAGAATCATACCAAAATAAAGGAAATGCCTAGCTGCAGCCAATCAGGCAATTTCTTTGTTTGGTGATCAGCCTATAAAGCTTGCTGCTCATGTTACTACTGGAGCAGAGCCCATAACATCCTTTCATGTTGGTGCTTTCTGATTCACAGATTGTTCAAGTAAACTTTGTTAAATTTCTTTTGTCAGAAGTTCTTCTTTTAACAATTGTGTGTTAAGACATAACTCTGGGAGCGTTTTGCAAAATGCTTTTGAACAGGGAGAAAATGTTGGCATGAGGATGAGTTTGGATGCCTTTGAAATAATCCAGGCAATAGGTAAGAAGGGCCTGAATTAGGGATGTAAATGGGATAGAGGGGAAAATTTGGAGATGTTTTAGAGTTTGAGTGTGGAAAGGATTGAGAGAGGAATCACTGTGGTTTTTAACATTTCCAACATAGGATATTAGTGAAAGAGACTGTGATAGGTCAATACAGAGGGATAGGTTTTACTCAGTTTTTAAAACTTCAAATAAACAATGTACCTGTTTTGTAGGAAGAATAATGTCCCCTCAAATATGCCCATGTCCTACTCCCTAGAACCTGTGAATCTATGTTTCTTTACATGGTAGAAAAGTTTTTGCAATTGTCATTAAATTAAGGAATTTGAGATGGAGAGATTACTCTGAATTACCCAGCTGGGTTCATTGTAATCACAAAGGTCCTTGTAAGAGAGAGGCAAGAGAGTCAAAGGCAGAGAGAGGTGATGTGATGACAGAAGCAGGGTTAGAGTGACGTGCCTTGAAGATGGAGGCAAGGAATGCAGGCAGCCCCTAGAAACTAGAAAAGGTTAAGGAAATAGGTTTTTTTCCCCAGAGCCAGGAATACAGCTCGGCAGCTATGTTGATTTTAGCCCATAAGACCCATTTTGAACTTCTGAATTTCCAGAGTTGTAAGGTAATAAATTTGGGTTATTTTAAGGCACTGAGTTTCTGGTAACACAACCTGTTATCCCCAGATGATCTCTGTGCATGTTAACTGGGAGAATATCAGTATTTTTTCCTGAGTGGAACAAAGATAAAACTCTCCATATGGTAACTATTTTTATTTATATTTCAGATAACTTTAAGAGATGGGAGTGTTCCAGGTGGAGTAAATAGCTTCTGCAGAAGCCCACAATCTAAATGCCCAACAGGGAACATCTGCTTGGAACTCCCTTTGCTTGCTCTTCGCCAGTGCCTTTGACTTTCATCACACCTGTTCACCAGCTCTATCAGCTTGGTAGAAGTGAAAGCCCTACTCCTGGCAATGGGTCATTTGAGCTTAGAGGGTAAATGTTTCTGGATCATTTGACCCTCTGGACTGTGCCTCTGGTTCCTGTGCCTTTCTCTGTAACTCTTGCCGTGATGATTCATCCTGGACTCTCTTCTCTTGCAATGCTCTATCAATACTGATTCTGTCACTTACGAAGCTGTGTTAACTTTGTCAGTACATACATCTCTTTATCAGAGGGTCTGTTACTCATCTGTAAAATGGGAACAACAAAGCCAACCTCCCTGGGTCAGGATTTTTGGCCATTTGGCTTCTTCATGCACAGCAGTGACAAGTTTAAGGCACCCCAACCTGGGGTTACCCATATTAAGGGCCAATTTCACCTACCCTTCCTGCCAGGGGGACTCAGTCTATTTGGCTTTTTTTAATTCCTCTTTTCCTTGCCCACAGGGCTTCATGTTTGTCTTGAGGATGAGACTCCTGTTTCTTCTGGATGTATGGGTGGGAGGGGAGTGAGGGAGTGAAGTGAGAGTTTCTGCTAGAAGACTCCTGATATAGTTGATGTCTGGAAGACTTCGTAGGGGCACGTCATGTCATAAATGACAGCTAACATGGGTTGAAACAGACGTCATTAGAATTCAAAGCCTACATATTAATATTTTCTGGTGTTTCAATTCACTTGTGGGTGGGTTCAACTTTTTTTTGATATACTCTTTTTACTTTCCTTTTTACTACTTCTTCCTATTCCAGCCCCAACCACTGACTTGAAGATGTAAGTAGATGACTAATGTGGTTTACACAGAGTAGAAGAATCTTTTCTCCCCATTTCAAATTAATGACATGCCAACAACATATATCCTAAAGAATCTGAGTATTTTGATATTGACATAGAGGAAAATCAGCCCAACTAACATCTGTTGAGTGCTTGGAATGTGCCAGGCACTGTACTATGTATTTTGTATCTATTCTAATTTAAAACTCATATCAAATTTAAGATGTTGGTGTTAATGTCTCAGTTGTACAGATGATTAATGTATCTTCTGTTGCTTAATGAGACTTGTGTGTTGCCAACGTCCACACAGCTAGCAATGGACAGTATTGATATTAGAATTTAAGGTCTATTTAATTCCAGAGTCAATGCTTATTTCTCTGCCCCCTAATCTCTACTATAGGAACTAATACATTCTGGGAATTCTTTTATAAGATGTCATTTGGAGGATAGTGCAGAAATTATAGAATTTCAACTGAGAAGATCTGAATGTATGCAGAATTTTGTTATGAACTAGATGTGTGACTTTGGACAAGTTATTTTCTCATCTTTTTGAGTCTCATTATTACTGGTGGCATCACACATGTACTGGTAAGGTGTTTCAAGTTTGGGTTCGAGCTCTGTAATGAGTTAGCTGTGTGGCTTGGGGAAAACCGCTTTACCTGTGTAGGCCTTAGTTTTGTTTCTTTGTTTATTTTATCTATAAAATGAGAGGACTATGGAAGACTTGTTCCTTTTAGGTTTGAAATTTTGTTATACTAAGGGCTTCAATTTCAATAATAATAGTTACGCCCAGGCAGCTAGTGGGAGCAATTCTAACAGTTCATTAATACAGAAACGATCTTCTCTGAACAATGAAATACTATACTGGCCAGCCTGGGCTCCAGCCAGATATATTTACAGAACATCCTTTAGCCTGAAATAGAAATTTATTGCTCAACCATCTGTTACAATTAAGAAAAGATGTGAAAATGTTTTCTATGTGTTTGACTAATCATGTTTTAGGGCCCTGTGGGTACTTTACAAATTATATGCCTTCCTTTTTTCTTGGCATCATTAAAAATCTGGGATCTATTTCCAAAATTTATCAGTTCTCACTCTATTATTTTCTCTTTTTCTAAAGAAACTTGTTCAGAGCCCCAGATGGAATAGAGCAAGCAAATATGTCTCAAGACAAAGTTAGCCTGTAAAGCAAATGAATTGTCTTTGGTGAGCGAGTGGTTTGGAAACAACTGAACGAATATTGCAACATAAATATCTAATTTGTATTCGTTGGACTATGACCTACCTGGTATTAGTGATGAGAAGACATTAAGACCCAATTACTGATCAGGGTCTCTTGTTTCCTTCTTAAAAAAATAGGGATATAATTAAAATAGCCCACCTGTGTGGCCAGTACTCAGTAAGAGAATATTGCAAGGGAAAGCTCTGGAACCCTCCCACCTCATTCTACCTTTGCACATCTTCTCAGCTCTCTCTTGTACTTTGCCTCTGTGTTTCATCTCACACTTGACTCATGAAGGTAAAAAGTAGGCTTTTGGAAAATGATATTTTCCCAAAAACTTTTGTTTCCTTTTAACTCTAAGAATCTTTCAGTTGTGTTCAACTAGTTCATGTGAAGAAAAATAATTGTGAAGTAGTCTAGTTTCTGTAGTATTCTTTTTCAAAGTGCTCAGCAGAATCCAGCTATTTCTTTCAAAGTAGTTTTATTTGTTTTGAAAGTACCTTTTTCTAAAAAAAAATTTTTTTATTTTAATAGATTTAGCAGTACAAATGGTTTTGGTTATATGGATGAATTCTATAGTGGCGAAGTCTTAGCTTTTAGTGTAACTGTCACCCAAATAGTGTACATTATATAGAATATATAATTTTTCATCCCTATCCCCTGCCATCCTACCTACTTCTGAGTCTCCAATGCCCATTATACCATTTTGTATGCCCCTGCATACCCATAGCTTAGCTTCTACTTATAACTGAGAACATGCAGTATTTGGTTTTCTATTCCTGAATTACTTCACTTAGGATAATGGCCTCTAGTTCCATTCAAGTTGCTGCAAAATACATTATTTTGTTCTTTTTTATGGCTGAATAGTGTTCCATGGTATACTACTTCCATGGTATTCTATGTGTATATATACACACACCATTTTTTTTATCCATTCATTATCTGATGGGCATTTAGATTGATTTTACATCTTTGTAATTGTGAATTGTGCTGTGATAGATACACAAGTGCGGGTGTCTTTTTGATGTAAGTGCAGGTGTCTTTTTCTTTGGGTAGATATCCAGTAGTGGGATTGCTAGAGTGAACGGTAGATCTACTTTTAGAACTTTGAGAAATCTCCATACTGTTTGCCATAGAGGTCTTACTTATTCACATTCCTACTAACAGTGTCTAGGCATTCCCTTCTTACCATAGCCAAGCCATTTATTGTTTTTGACTTGCATTTTTAATTTTAATTTGCATTTCCCCGATGATTAGTGATGTTGGGCATTTTTAAATATATATATTTTTTTGCCATTTGTATATCTTCTTTTGAAAAGTTTCACTTGTCCACTTTCTAATAGGTTTTTTTTTTCCTTGCTAGTTCGTTTGAATTCCTTTTTGGATTCTGGATATTGTCCTTTGTCAAATGTACAGTTTGTGAATATTTTCTCCCATTCTGTATGCTGTCTGTTTACTCTGTTGATTATTTCTTTGCTGTGTAGAAGTTTTTAGTTTAATTAAGCCCCATTTATTGACTTTTGGTTTTCCTGCATTTGCTTTGGGGTCTTAGTTATAAATTCTTTGCTTACACCAATGTCCAGAAGAGTTTTTCCTAGGTTTTCTTTGATAATTTTTATGGAGTTTGGTCTTACATTTGAGTCTTTATTCTAGGGATCCAGTTTCATTCTTCTGCCTGTGGCTATCCAATTTTCCCAGCATCATTTACTGAATCGGGTATCCTTTTCCCAGTTAATGTTTTTGTCTGCCTTTATTGAAGATCAGTTTTTTGTAGGTATGTGGTTTTATTTCTGGGTTCTCTATTCTGTTTCATTGGTCTATGTGTCTGCTTGTATATCAGCACCAATGCTTCTTTGGTTACTATAGCTCTATAGCATAATTTGAAGTCTTCTAAAGTAACACCTTCATATTTGTTCTTTTTGGTTATAATTGCTTTGGCTATTCATACTCTTTTTGGTTCCATATACATTTTAGGATTATTTTTTCTTAAATCTGTGAAAATGACATTGGTATTTTTTGATAGAAACTCCACTGAATCTGTAGATTGCTTTGGGCAGTATGGTCATTTTAAAGACATTGATTCTTCCAATTCATGAGCAGGGGATGTTTTTCCATTTGTCTGTGTCATCTATGATTTATTTCATTAGTGTTTTCTAGACCTCCTTGCAGAGATCTTTCCCCTCCTTAATTAAGTACTGATACGGTTTGAATATATGTCCCCACCAAATCTCATGTTGAATTGATATTCCCAGTGCTGGATGTGGGGCATGGTGGGAGGTGTTTCGGTCATGGCGTGGATCCCTCTTGGCTTGGTGCTGATCTGGAGATAATGAATGAGTTTTTGAGAGATCTGGTTGTTTAAGTGTGTGGCATATCCCCTCCCACTCTCTCTCTTGGTACTGCTCCCACCATGTGATACATTTGCTTCCTTTTCACCTTCTGCCATGATTGGAAGTTTCCTGAGGCTCTCATCAGAAGGTGAGTAGATGTTGGTGTCATGCTTGTACAGCCTGCAGAACTGTGAGCTAATCAAACCTCCTTTCTTTATAAATTACCCAGTCTCAAGTATTTCTTTATAGCGACACAAGATGGACTACTGCAAATATATTCCTATGTATTTTTTTCTTTTGCTAAATGAGATTGGCTTCTTGATTTGATTTGCAGCTTGGTTGTTATTAGTGAATTGGTGCTACTGATTTGAGTATGTTGATTTTGTAACTTGAGACTTTACTGAATTCAAATCCTTGTCAAAGCGGAGTCTTTCGGAGGAGTCTTTAAGGTTTTCTAGGTATAAGGTCATATCAGTGGCAACCAGAGATAGTTTGACTCCCTCTTTTCTAATTTGGATGCCCTTTATTTTTTTCTCTTATTTGATTGCTCTGGCTAGGACTTCTAGTACAACGTAGAATAGAAGTGGTGAATGCGGGTATCCTTGTCTTATTCCAGTTCTGAAGGGGCATGCTTTTAACTTTTACCCGTTTAGTATGATGTTGGCTGTGGGTTTGTCATATATGGCTTTTATTATTGTGAGGTATGTTCTTTCTATGCCCAGTTTGTTGAGGGCTTTTTTCATGAAGGGATGCAGAATTTTACAAAATCCTTTTTTTTTTTTGCATTTATTGAAATGATCAGATAATTTTTGTTTTTTATTCTGTTTATGTGGTGAATCATTTACTGACTTGTGTATGTTGAACTATTCTTGCATCCCTAGGATAAAACCCACTTGATCATGGTGAATTATCTCTATGATATTCTGTTGTATTTGGTTTGCTAGTATTATGTTGAAGATTTTTGCCTGTATATTCATAAGGGATATTGGTCTATTGTTTTCTTTTTTGTTGTTGTGTTCTGTCCTGGCTTTCATATCAGCGTAATACTCACATCATAGAATGAGACAGGGAGGATTCCCTCCTTCTCAGTCATTTGGAATAGTTTCAGTATTATTGGTATCAGTTCCTCTTTCAATATCTGGTAAAATTTTGATGTAAATCCATCTGGCCCTGGGATTTTTTTGTTTATGTTGGGAGATTTTTTATTACTGATTCTATCTCATGCCTCTTATTGGTCTGTTCAGGATTTCTATTTCATCCTGATTGAAGGTAGGGGGGTTGCATGTTTCCAGGGATTGATCCATTTCCTCTAGATTTTCTAGTTTACGTGCATTTAGGTGTTCATAGTGGTTTCAGATAGAAAGTACTTTTTTGAAAGTACTATTGTGAAAGTTTTTGGCTGACAATTTTTTTTTGTTTGGAAAGTGGTCTTTTAGCTCAGACATCACATTAAGAATTCTCTTTTGGTCAACCACCAGATTTCTGCATCGAGGGAAAAAGTGTACATTCTTTTTCCAGGTTTTTACTGTCTTTTCAATATTTTTAAGTGGCCTTGTGTTTGTTTAAGAAAGCTAATCACTTTTGTAGCATCAACTAGAATGTAATTCATTTTGTCTTCACCTTCCTGCAAAGAAAGCAGTGTATTGAGAAAAATGTGAGGATTTTTTTTTTTTTTTTTTTAACAATTAGAGAGCTAGACCTTCTGATAGAGCCAACCATTGATGGGATACCATTAGGACAGATGCCAATGCAATTTCTTCAAGATACACCTTTATTTTTTTCAAAGTATGAAGACAAAACATTAAATATGTCTTGACTTATGTTGCTTTCAGCAACTTATTGCAGTAGCAAAATTATTCTTGAATTTCTCCGTCCTTTACAAATCTTAGAAATATGATAGCATGACATTTATTGGTAAAATATGTTCACTAATCAATCTACATAGACAAGCTCTTCCTTTTCAGTTCATTACATAAAGCCTTTTCAATATTATGTGATATGTCATCACTACATTAACTTACTCAATTTTTTAAGACTGAAATATTTTCAATTTGTCCTATTGCATCTTGTTTTAGTCACTAAAAGCTGGTATTTTAGTTTCTCACCAACTTTGTAACTTTTTTCTTCTAAGCAATATGTTTTCTTATTCAGAAACTTGATTTTTGAGATTTTTGACTGTATGTGACTTTTCTTGACAAAGTCTTCACTCTGTTTTGAAATTCCAATAGCTGTTTAAAATAGTCACTACTCTTCCTTGTCAAATGGATGTAATTTGCAGTTAAGTGTCTTTTCAAGATTTCTCATGGCATTGCAACATTCTAACTTGTCTGCCACAGACAACATGGAATGGGTGTGGCAACTTGGATTACCCGACCATGTGAAACCCAAGGATAAGTAGCTTTCCTTGTAAACACGTAATTTTTTGCTCTCTTGATATGCTAGTGCAGATAAATAATCCAGAAGATTCTAATTCCTCATCATTAACATTATGAGAATTGTTCATAATTGTTCATAAACATAAGTCTAAAATCTTTCTTTTTCTCAGCACATTTTGTCTTCAAAAATTGCTACATCAGACCATCAGAGTTACTTGCAAAATATAAAGATGAATAAAGTATAAAACAAAAGGTTATAATAAATAACTAATTGAGAATATTGCAAAAGGAGAACTTGATAATCATAAGGCAATTTACTTCTAACTCATATAATCCATGCAAGGCAACAATCCATGTTTTGCAACATTTATAACAACAGCAAAGCAACAATAGGACAGCTGAGTTACAGTACGTAGAGATGCCCTTTTTTATAATGAAAAATTCTGTCTTACTGCCTATTATATCAGAGGAGTTCTTCTCCCCAGTAAGTAAGTAGGAGGCATGCAAAGCCAAGAATGCTGGAAGGAATTAAAAGACTCAAGGAAATGGACATGCTGAAACAGATATATTATATGAAGCCAGAAAATTCATTAGGAATTAATGGGAACTTTCAGGAAAAACACCATTCAACAATGCCTTCAAGAATGCACTAGAGAGATGGGCATGATCATCCCTAAGGAGTATAGTGGTAGCTCTCCTCTGCATGTGGAAGTGCTAATTGTAGGAGAGGTGATCAAAACCTTTGCTTATTAATAATAATGAAGATGACATATGTGACACAGCAAGGATATTTCTATTAATATAATGATTCACAAGTTCAGAGGGGCAGTAAGGAGGCTTGGAGATGGTTAATAGAATATAATAGCCCTAATGGTAATATACATTAGGAGACAACAATAGTGTTGCTTAATATATACAATCAAAAGGAGGTAAGTGTGCGTATGCAAGAGACTGTGGATGGGCACCTTAATTTTAAGTCTTGTTCTTTTGCCAGTATTCTCCACTTGAGTCAGTTTCAGACCCAGAACCTTTTGACTAAAGACATAGTCAAATCCCTTGGAGGAAGGACCATGTAACACCATGGAAGGTATAGTTTGTAATGGTTTCCTCAGTCTTTCCTTAACTATGCCTGTAGCCATTTATTCACTTGACTGAGTTTCAGGGACAGAGTAATGTCCAGACACTTTGAAGGTTATTGGATGCAGGGCCTGAGTTGACATTGATACTTGGAGTCTCAAAATATTACCATGGCCCCTGTTAGAGTAGAAGCCTATAGGGATAAGGTTATAAATGGAGTCTTGGTCAAAGTTGGGCTTATAGAAGGACTACTGGTTCTGTCAGTCCACCCAGTGATCACTTCCCAGGTTCTTCGATTCATAATTAGAATTGACACACTTGGCAGTTAAAATAACCCTCACCATAGATTCTTGGCCTGTAAAAACAGAGTGCTCCTGTTCCTCACCAAAAATATAGTGAATGAAGAACAATATGGGATTCCAGGGGTGGAATTAGCTCTACTCTTAAAGACCTTAAGGATGTAGGAGTGGTGGGCCCTATTATATTACTGTATTAGTCAGAGTTCTCTAGAGGGACAGAACTAATAAGATATATATATATGAGTTTATTAGTGAGTATTAACTCACATGATCACAAAGTCCCATAATAGTCCATCTGCAAACTGAGGAGCAAGGAAGCCAGTCCCAGTCCCAAAGCTGAAGTACTTGGAGTCCGATGTTCATGGGCAGGAAACATTCAGCATGGGAGAAAGATATAGTCTGAGAGGCTAAGCCAGTCTAGCCTTTTCAGGTTTTTTTCTGCCTGCTTTATAGCCTGGCCCCACAGCTGGCAACTGATTATGGTAGGTGGGGCCCACCCAGATTAAGGGTGGGTCTGCCTTTCCCAGCCCACTGACTCAGACGTTAATCTCCTTTGGCAACACCCTCACAGACATACCCAGGATCAGTCCTTTGCATCCTTCAGTCCAATCAAGTTGACACTCAGTATTAACCATCACAATTACCATTAAATTAAAAGGTCTTGTCCCTGTAGATAATGTATATATTCTAGAGAATGACTTCACACTACTGCAAGCTTATTCAAGTCTTAGTCCTGATGTGGCTACTGTGACATATGCAATATTTTTGCTGGAGTAGATTATCATGGCCTCAGGAACATGGTATGCAGCCACTCATTTGGCAAATAAATTATTTTCTATCATAAGAAGTTTGTATTCATGTGCAATGAACAAGAAAATGTATTCACAGATTTGCTACACAACTATATTTACTCTTCTGCTGTCTGTCATAATATACTTAGAAGAGATTTGGACTGTGAACATACTGCAAAATATCACATTAATTCATTCTATTGATGACATTATGTTGACCATGATACAATATAGCCACATTCAAGCTTAGCAAGAAGTGGCTAGTATACTGGAGGCCTTGGTAAGACTTATGTACTTTAGATAGAGGGAGATAATATTACCCTACAATGATTCAGAGACCTGTAGCTTTGGAAATGTTTAAGGGTCCAGTGGCCTGGCTTTTTATAGAACATCCTCTCCAGAGTTAAAAGACACTTTTACCTCTTTCATTCCTTACTGCTAAAAAGAAGCACAGTTCCTAGTATGCCTCTTTGAATTCTGGTGGAAACACAATTCACACTGAGGAGTAATGCTTCAGTTCATGTCTTAGCTCGTTTGGGCTGCTCTAACAAAATGTTATAACTTGGTTGGCTTTAAACTACAGAAATTTATTTTTTCACAGCTCTGGAGTCAAGGTAGTCCAGGATCAAGGAACTTGCAGGTTTGGTGTCTGGTGAGGGTTCATGTCCTACTTCACAGATGGCACCTTCTCACTGTGTCGTCACATAGTAGAGGTTGGCTAGCTAGCTCTCTGGGGTCTGTTTTATAAAGGCACTGATACCATTTATAAGGCCTCCAACCTCGTGACTCAGTTACCTCCCCAAAGTCCTCACTTCATAACACTGTCACCTTAAGGTTAGGATTTCAACAAATGAATTTTTTGGGAAAGCATTCAGACCATAGCAATCCATATGAGAATTATCGTGAAAGGCTTCTCATGCTGAATGGAGCTGGAGCAGCAAAGAGCTCTGCAGCATGGCTAGGCTGTGGTAGAAGCAACTCTGCCATTTGGGCCATATGATCCAGAAGAACCTATGGTAATGAAGGTATCAGCAGTGTGAGTTGGATTTTTGACAAATTTCAGTGGGCGAATCACAACTCAGGGCCCTAGAGTTCGGAATAAGGACATGCTGTATTTCACAGAGAATTATATACCTTTTAAGAAATAATTTCCAGCAGGGCCCTGTAGACATGGAACCTTTGACCGTGAGGCACCAAGTGACTGTGCATCCAGAACTGTCCATTATTAGTTGGATACTGTAAGACCTACAAGTCCAATAAAGTTAAGGAGGCCCAGCAGCAGGCCAGTGTAGGATGAAAATGGCACATTTGTGGTCAAGACCAAGCAGGAACAGAGGCTACCAGTAAGCTGCATGAGCAGTTAGTCCAGACCCTCATGCCATCAGCACAACTACATCCATGCTCTTCCCTCTGCTTCTACCTATGACCATACAGAACCTCAAGTTTGCCTTATAGATAGGTCAGCTTGATTTGTTGGTATCGTCTTAAAATGGGCAGTAGCTGCAATACAGCCACATTCAGGAGCAGCCTGGAAATACAGTCATGAGGAAAAATATTCCCAGTGGGCAAAGACTCAAGCTATTCTCCTTTGTGGAAGAAGTGCCCTTAGATGAGAATATAAACGGACATGTGAGCAGTAGCCAATGGACTGGCTCACTGTTCAGGATCCTGAAAGGAGAGGGATGGGAAGATCAGAGTCAAGGAAGTCTGGCGAAGAGATGTGTGGATGGACATATGGAAATGAGCACCAAGTTTGCAAATTATTTAAACAGTGGAGCAGGGAAGAATACCTGTAGAAGCCAGATGATCTTCATGGGTGCTTTTTTAGTATTCCCTTCCCTAATTGTGACTGTGGGCAGACAAATACAGTAACTCTGGCCCTAGAAAGATGCAGTTACTCCAGGAAGATGGGTTTGGGTCACACCATCAGTTAAGCCCCTGAGACAAGCAGATTATGGATATTTAGAATAGATAGTGGAGGAAGGAGCCCAACTGCTGAACTTTGTCCCATAATCTTCTTCTTCTAAGCTTCAGGAGGAGAAGACAGCTAGAACCTGAAGGATCTAGTTGGCCTTTCCATAAACAAATGTTTATGGGAAAGTGGATTCATCGCGTAGCAAAAGGTGTGGGATGTGGCAGCCACGGTGGTAGACTGCCCAAATATCTCAAGAAAAAACTTGATCTGCTGTGAGGACACCACACTGCAATGTTTGAATCAAGGCCATTTTCTTCCCAGGTAGCCTCCTGTGAATGACGGTATGGCAGGGTAATAGGGTCTCATTTACATCCAATGAGAGAGTTCTTTATGAGCTATTTCTGTGACAGTGCTCCTGGTTTGACTGCCTGAAACTTTCACCAAAATGCACTATTATCTTAAAGTCTTTCTATTCGATTCCCCCTCTTCCCCTCTCTGATTATAGATGTCAAATCAGCATTCCAGTATAAAAGGTTTTCTTGCCTGTATCTGTTGTTTTTTCCCTTTATCTTTCATAGGCATTTCCCTCAATAAATCTCCTTCACTACTAACTCTGTCTTGGCACCTGAACCAACACCGGACCTAACCAACACAGTTTTGAGGAAGGCTGAAGAAGGTATTTTGGGAGGGAGAGGCTGATGTTGTCAAGCCTGTTCTTCTCTCCCTGATGCAATCACACGCTCATCAACTATCATCGGCTTCCCCTATCCTAAGTCAAAAACGAGAATGTACTCAACCAAGTAAACATAGTGCTAGACAGTGCTACCTAGAGCTAAAAGACAAACCAGGCTGCTTGGTGACTGTCCACCTCCACAAATGCTAGTGTTCCACAGAGCACAAAGTTCCCCCAAACCAACTTCAATTCCTTTTCAGTCACAATCTCTCAAGGAACCCTAAGTGGCATCTTGTGGAATCCTAGGTTTTGAGAAAACCCTGTTTGAGAAACTCTGTTGTAAAAGTTTCTTCTTTATCCTCCATCTCATGGACTAACTCATTATTTCTGTGAATCCCTCTTCTCTTGTATAAGTTGCCACTCTTCCTTCCCCTCTTTTCTCTTTCAGGCCTAACCTTAAGTAGTTTCTGAAAAGGGATAAAAAAATAACTATAAGACTTTATATATATAAGTTTTAAACTATAAAACTTTATTAAAAATGGCCATTCAGATTTGAATATTTGTTTCTGTTTCAGAGTGGGCTGGAGAAGAGGAAATGATACCATGTTCTTTTAAGAAAAAAGAGGAAAAAGCCCACAAGATGAACACTATGGTGTATAACCCTGTCATGTCTTTTTAGCAATGAACTTTGGAGCCCTGGAAACAAGTAGCCCTAAGTTACAACACTCAATTTTAAAGTAAGCTTTTCTTCATGACCCTGGCAAACTCATCAACTCACTCTCCACCCCCTACCTTCATGGACTATCCCACTTTTTATACATTCTTTCACTGGCTTGTTTATTTCCTGACAGGTAGGTGCTATTTGATCCTAAAGAAAAAAGAACCATGGCAATTTATTTGGTTGATTCTTCTGTAATCCCTAATTCCTAGTTTAATTTGCTAATTTAATATAACTTATGGCCCTAGTTTGTAGAGTTTTCCACTTGTTTTATACCAATTTGTGATTTTAAACATTTTTTTTTTTTTTTTTTTTTGCTGTAACATAACAAATTTTCTATCAGTGGGTTGAGACAAAGCAAACAGCACATCCTGGCAAGCAAATGGC